>NC_000009.12:37131212-37282727 GCF_000001405.40 Homo sapiens
GCCTGTAGTCCCAGCTACTCAGGAGGCTGAGGCAGGAGAATGGTGTGAACCTGGGAGGCAGAGTTTGCAGTGAGCCGAGATAGCGCCACTGCACTCCAGCCTGGGTGATAGAGCGAGACTCTGTCAAAAAAAAAAAGAAAAAAAAAATACAGGCCGGGCATGGTGGCTCACACCTGTAATCCCAGCACTTTGGGAGGCTGAGGTGGGTGGATCACTTGAGGTCAGGAGTTCGAGACCAGCCTGGCCAACATGGTGAAACCCCGTCTCTACTAAAAATGCAAAATTAGCCGGGCATTCTGGCAAGCATCTGTAATCCCAGCTACTTGGGAGGCTGAGGAAGGAGAATTGCTTCAACCTGGGAGGCGGAGGTTGCAGTGAGCCGAGATTGTGCAACTGCACTCAAGCCTAGGCGACAGAGTGAGACTCTTGTCTCAAAAAGAAAAAGAAAAAAAAGAAAATGGGCGTACACATTTGTTTTGCTCTACTGACAGTTAATACCACAACTCAGAGGCATTTTTTTTTCCTTTCTATTCTTCTTCTAAATGTTCAACACTTTTCTGATTTTGTGATTTGAGGTTGTTGATTAGCTTCCTGAGGCTCCATTGAGACTGTATATACGTGACACTTAACAGTCTAGCCTTCCTCGGTGCATATAGATATATGATGGTGGTTTTGCCTGTAGTAAATTCATGTCAAAACATAGGCTTTCAGTGCCTATTACATATGACTTTCAGCTCTCTCTACTGAGGGATGTAGGAGTTTATTTCTGAGGTCTGAGCCTCTTTTCCTTTACTTCCTTTATTCTTTCCTAAGCCTTCTTTATAAAAACTATGCATGTTCTATCGTTTGTTTTCCTTCTTGATTCCCGCCCCTTCCTTTTTTTTTAATTATCCCCAGCAGGAGTGACTTGTAATTCTCATATATTAGAAAGGCAGATCTCCTGGTGGAAGAAAAGATGCACCGAAGGAAGTCAGCATATTTAGTAATTTGTGAGGGGGATCTCAAGTTTGGAAAGGATTGTTATGTAAGACAACCAAATGATGACATGTGACAATAAAGCCATAATAGCTACTTATTTTCCTGGTTAGGGAAGGGATATTACTAGTTCTAGGAGTAACTGCTAGCTCTTTCTTGTACTTTTTTTATTGTGGAAATATAAAAATATACAAAAATAAAATGTTATAATTGACTTCAGTGTCCCATAAACCAGCTTCAACAGTTACCAATTTATGTCTAATCTTTCCTATCTATAACTCTGTGCCCCTCTGTTATTTTGAAGCTCATCAGACATCAAGTCATTCATATATGTATGTATGTGTATGTGTGTGTATACACATCATGTGTGCACATGTGTGTATGCATGTATACACATTTGTATACAAGTGTGCACTCATGTTTGTCCCTCAGTGTCTGTGGGGGATTGGTTCTAGGACTTCCCATGGATACCAAAATCTATGGATGCTCAAGTCCCTGATATAAAATTGTGGAATATTTGCATATAACCTATTTACATCCTCTCGTATACTTTTAAGTCCGGGGTGTCCAATCTTTTGGCTTCCATGGGCCACATTGGAAGAATTGTCTTGGGCCACACATAAAAAACACTAATACTGACAGTAGCCGATGAGCTAAAAAAAAATTACCAGCTGGACATGGTGGCTCACGCCTGTAATCCCGGCACTTTGGGAGGCCGAGGCGGGCGGATCACGAGGTCTGGAGTTCGAGACTAGCCTGACCAACATGGTGAAACCCCGTCTCTTCTAAAAATACAAAAATTAGCCCAGTGTGGTGGTGTGCACCTGTAATCCCAGCCTCAGAGGCTGAGGCAGGAGAATCGCTTGAACCTGGGAGACGGAGGTTGCAGTGAGCCGAGATCGTGCCACTGCATTCTAGCCTGGGCGACAGAGTGAGAGAGACTCTGTCTCAGAAAAAAATTAACAAAACAATCTCATATTGTTTTAAGAAAGTTTACGAATTTGTGTTGGGCCACATTCAAAAGCCTTCATGGCTGTGAGTTGGACAAGTCATCTCTGGATTACTTAACATACCCATACAATGTAAATACCATGTAAATAACTGTTATATTGTATTTAAGGAGTCATAATGAGAAGAAAAATATACACGTTAAGTAGACATGCAATTTTTTTTGGTCTGGAATATTTTCTTTTTTTTTTTTTTTTGAGACACAGTCTTGCTCTTGTCACCCAGGGTGGATTGCAGTGGTGCAGTCTTGGCTCACTGCAACCTCTGCCACCTGGGTTCAAGCAGTTCTTCCACCTCAGCTTCCTGAATAGCTGCGAATGCAGGTACCTGCCACCATGCTTGGCTAATTTTTGTATTTTTATTTTTTATTTTTTTAAAATTTAAAAATTTTAAAATTTTTATTTATTTTCTGAGACGGAGTCTCGCTGTGTCACCCAGCCTGGAGTGCGGTGGCGTTATCTTGGCTCACTGCAACCTCCGCCTCCCAGGTTCAAGTGATTCTTCCACCTCAGCCTTCCGAGTAGCTGGGATTACAGGCACGAGCCACCACGCCCAGCTAATTTTTGTATTTTTAGTAGAAACGGGGTTTCACCATGTTGGCCAGGCTGGTCTTGAACTCCTGACCTCAGGTGATCTGCCCACCTTGGCCTCCCAAAGTGCCAGAATTATAGGCGTGAGCCACCGTGCCTGGCCAGTTATTGTATTTTTAGTAGAGTTGGGGTTTCAGCATGTTGGCTAGACTGGTCTTGAACTCCTGGCCTCAAGTGATCCACCGGCCTTGGCCTCCCAAAGTGGTAGGATTACAGGTGTGAGCCACCGTGCCCGACTGAAACGTACTATATATATATATGTATATATTTAATCATATTACCATAGGTAAACAAATTCCCGGTAATTCTTTCATCATCACATACCCAGCTAGTGTTCAGATTTCCTACACTGGCTCCTAATTTTTTTTTCTTACAGATTATTTGAATTCGATCCAATCCAGGTATTGTAATTGGCTGTTAAACTTAAGTATCCTTTAATGTATAGGTTCCCCTTAATCTCTTCCTTTTTTTAATTTCTTGTAATTTGTTGTAATACCTAGATTCTTTGTCTTCTAGAATTTCCAATGGTCTGAATTTTATAGTATTGCTTAACATGTTCTACTGTCCTCTGTCTTTCCTGTGAATTGGTAGTTAGATCTAGAAGCTTGATTAAATTCAGATTTTCTCTCTGTTGTTACATCATCAGTTTGACACACAGGTTCATTTGTTTCACTTTGCTTTTGATATGTTATTTTTTGGAATTATCTTTTAAAAATTTGGTTTTCTTTTATAATCATGTAAAATGTGTATAAGGTTCCAGATTCAAATCAGCAAAACATGATAAAATCTATCCAGAGAAGGCAAACCTTCTGTCCAGTCGCCATCCTGTTCCTGCCCTTCCCCTTATGAGTAATCATTAAGAGAAAATTGTTGGTTTGTCCTTACATGTGTATATCTTTGTACACTCTTGCCCTTGTTTTTTGTTGGTTGTTTTTTGTTGTTGTTGTTTTATTTTTTGAGACGGAATTTCGCTCTTGTTGCCCAGGCTGGAGTGCAACAGTGCAGTCTCAGCTCACCGCAACTTCCGCCTCCCGGGTTCAAGTGATTCTTCTGCCTCAGCCTCCCGAGTAGCTAGGATTACAGGCATGTGCCACCATGCCCAGCTAATTTTTGTATTTTTAGTAGAGATGGGGGTTTCTCCATGCTGGTCAGGCTGGCCTCAAACTCCCGACCTCAGGTGATCCACCCACCTCGGCCTCCCAAAGTGCTAGGATTACAGGCATGAGCCACCACACCCGGCCCTCTTTCTTAATAAATAGTGGCATACTATCTACTCTTTTCTCTAACCTTATTTTTTTCTCTTAGCCGTATATCCTGGCGATCAATCCATAGTCCTATGTAAAGATATTTAATATTTCTTATTTCTAGGACTATGAACTATTTTTGTATCTTCTACACTAATCTGAGCTGGGCACATTAGGCATGTAATAAATACTTTTTGAAAGTGAATGAATAGTAATTTAAAATAGTTGATGACTAATGCACTTGTTACAGTCTTAAAATATATTTTAAACAAATAAATAATTGTCTAATTCCACTTTCAGAAGAAATAAGAAGTTCTTATTCCTGTTTGTAATTTTTTTTATCATTTGGTAATTTTGAAATATTTAGGTTTAGCAAAAAATTAATAGGCTCAGGTTTTAAAAAGAAAAATGCCTTCTGCAAAAGGAACAATATGGTATTTTTAAGAGTTGAAGAAACCATATTAGTTCCTGGTTTATGACTGTTATGGTATAGAATTTTGTGTCAATGTAGAGCTCCTTCAGTATGTGTAATTTGGCACACAACCCCTTTAGTTCGTCAGCATTTGGCACATCGGGGATACCTAACAAATTGTAGGTAAATTTGTTTATTTATTTATTTTTTCCCTTAGGTAAATTTATTTGCAGTTCTGCCTTTGTGTATAGAGTAGAGCTCTTTACATAGTATTATTTAAAGTGAAATAATTGCTTGACTAAGGTAAATGGCTTTTGAAACTGAAGTAAAATTATGGCTTCAACACTTATGGCAGAAAGTGTTTTAACTATTTTGTGTTAAATCCCTTTTTCTCCCAAAACTATACACACAGAAGTTTTGGATATAATTTCAAAGGATGAAGAACTCATCTAGAGGCCATTGTTGAATTCCTGGCATTCATTAGGCACTCAACCAAGACTGGATATCTAATTAAAATTTGAATAGAGTGGGTTACCTATTTGAATTTTAGGTTTTCTAGTAAATCATTTTGTTTGATCTAGGTCTTTACATATGTGTTTTTTTGTTTGTTTTTCTTTTCCTGTGTGGATTAGTTTCTACCTTGCCTGGCTGATATATCTACTTATCTCTCAGTTCTTAGTTTGAAAGGTCACTTCTGAATGAGGTGTAATGGTCATAGGTTCTCAATTAGTGGTTGTTATTGGGTCTGTTACAGCTGTGCAGTTGGCCAACTTTGACTTTGGGTAACTTAATTTCTTTATTGGTAAAAAATACTTTTTATTTTATTAAAGTCATAAAGAAAAATGAGATATTGGGTAGGCTTAATGTCACAGGAAAATATTTTGATAAAAGTCTTCATAGTTACACGATAGGTTCATGATCATTGTGGCAAACATGAGCTTATAGCTTCCACTTTTTTGTTGTTGTTTGTTGTTGTTGTTGTTTTTCAGACAGGGTGTCTCTCTCCCACCCCACCCCTGCCCCACCTGCAATCTCTCTCTCTCTGTCTTGCTCTCACCCAGGCAGGAGTACAGTATTGCAGTCATGGCTCACTGTAGCCTTGACCTCCCGGGCTGAAGTGATCCTCCTACCTCAACCTCCCAGGTAGCTGAGACTGCAGATGTGGGCCACCATGCCCTGCTAATTTTTTGTATGGAGTTAGATGGAGTTTCACCATTTTGCCCATGTTCACCATGTTGCTCATGTTGCTGGTCTTGAACTCTTGGCTCAAGCGAGCTGCCCACCTCAGCCTCCCAAAGTGCTGGGATTTACAGGTGTGAGTCACCGCCCTGGCCCCACTTGATTTTTTTGTTTTGTGTTGTTTTGTTTTGTAGAGACAGTGTCTCACCATGTTGCCTACCCTTGTCTTGAACTCCTGAGCTCAAGCTCCCACCTTGGCCTCCCAAAGTGTTGTGCTTACAGGCATGAGCCACCGAGCCTGGCCCCAAGTTGCTTTTGAACAACATGTCTCTAGTATGGTGCTATCCTTAAAGAAATTTAATTTGGTGACATTTTATGATCTGCTAGTTTATGACATTGAACTTAATTCTGAAATCTTAAAATCTTTCCAAATATTATTTACTGGGTGCTGACAACGTACAAGCCACTGTACCATTAAGGTATTGGGATTCAAAAATTGCCATGTACTTTTTGCCTTTAGAAATCCTAAAATGCATGACAGTATGGAAAGTTCACTGTAAAACCAGAGTTAAATGCATTTCTACAAATATATGAGATGCTCCAGCAGAATACGTAATCATTCCAGGTGAATGCAGTAGATTTTTTAAAAAGATTAAAAAGTAGATAGGCAAAGTACAAGACTGAATTGAAAAGGAACCCTTTGAATTTGAGTTTCGAAAAATGGGTAGGACTTGAAGTTCAGGTTAAATGCAGCTAAAAATAGAAGGTGAAGCCCTTAGTAGAAACTGAAGACTGTATGTGCCATTCATGTTTATATGTGGCTGGATGTGATGAAATGTTTTAATAGTATATCTTTTTAGAAGCCACCTCTGCCTAAACAAGAAAGGATTATTTATGTTTTGTATATGTTCAGAATACTGTTGGAAGATTTCTTAGTCATAATTTTATTTCATTGCTTTCTCCCTGTTTTTTGCGTACATACCTCCTTTTTTCTTTTAAAATTAATTGGACCAGAGGTTAGTCAAAGGACCTGACCAGCTGTTTAACGTGTATTTTGTGCAGGGCTGTTCAAAGTAGAGCAGGTCTTAAGGTACAACTTTCACTCCTCATAGTTATGTTCTTCCTTATAATCTTTTAACATAGGAAAGGATCATTATTTTGTTAGTTTGGAAACAATACATTAAACTTTGCCTTCAGTAACTTCTCAGATCATTAAGGTGGTGTTTTTTCCCCTCCTTTGGCATTCATCGTCTTAATGTCAGTAGTTTCTTGAGACATTTTATACCCTAACAGGTCATAAGAGTGTATTGCCATGTGACATACTTCTCATTAATGTATAGTTTAATTTCTGCCTTATAACTGAAAAATGGCCACATGCTAGAATTCCAGTCACCAGGAGCATCAAGGAGCTCCCTCTCTGATGTTTTCAGCTTTTGTAAGCCTGTACTGCACAGTTCCTAAAGCTGCTTTTGAACTGTGTCTTTAGTTGTAGCATGTCACCTTACACTTAACTATTGTTAGGGCATCTTTTTATTTAATTTCTAATTAGCATAATGACTTGAGCTGTGTTATTCACTGTTCCATGGTGAAGTTGTCATAGGGAGAGAAGAAATAAAAATGTTCAGTTTCAGCTTTACTTGTGAATGGAGCGAGGTTTGAAGAAAGCTTTTTATGGCCATTGTTCAGCAGAATGAAAATCTCATTAGAAACCCCAGAAATCCCATGCAGCTTTGGGTTGGATTTTAATAACATTTTGGAATGTTGATATTGTATATCACTAATTTCTGTGATTTCACTGTAGATCAGCAACATAGGGAGGCAGTCTTCCAAAGTTAATTTATGACTTTTAATCTAAATTCATTTACAGTTTTCTTTTCAACAATGTTAAGTACCCAGGGAGAGAATTAAATTTTACTTTAAAAAAATACATTTCTTCTAGTAACTGATTTGATCTTCATGTAAGATATACTAAATTCATTGGAAACTGCTTAAACAGAAATACCATGATATGTATTTATTGAACTAATGACTTAGTTTAGTTGCCATTAAAATGTCACTCACCTTATCTACAGGTTTGTATTTTTTTTTTTTTTTTTTAGAATGGAAAAGCATAAAATTAGATGGGCAACATTTTCTTCCTTGTCAGAAGAGCTTGAATCCTGATGTCTTTTTAAGTGAAGAGTGTTTATATATAATTTTCTTGTAGCTTTTGTTTATTATAAAAATAATTATTGCATATAGTGATCACTTATCTAAGAAGATAAGTATGATTTATATAGACAGTATATTTTTATGGTCAGAAAGTAAATTTGATGTGAGCTACATATGATTAGACAGTAAAACTTTTTTCCAAAGAAATATAGAATGGAGAACATTTAATCATTATTTCCCCTTCTTAGAGTAGAGGCTGTTCAGATAATTCATATTCTGTAAGTAGGAGATCCTGTTTTTAAGACTTTACTAAATTTAATTTCAAAGTAATAATCTCTTATAAATGCTTCCTTGGTGGTTAAGACTTATTAATGAAGCAAAAGTATGGACTTCATGGAAGTTTTCAGCCTAACGTTTTAAATCTCTTCATTATTATTTATCTTTGTTTTGTTATAAATTAAAGATACTGGCATGGTTAACTTTTGGCATTTTGAGTTACTTGCCAGATATTTGTTGATTGTGCAAATAGTTAAGAAATAAATATTTTAATTGGGCATCCACCATGTATTATGTCACATTTTCTTTTTAAATCATATGCTTAAGAATACTTAAAGGAGTATGACTTGCTTTTTAGTTTGAATCTTGATCTAACAGCATTGGTTCTGGATGGAGATGTAATTCTAGAGATAAAAATTATTTCTGTTGTGTAGATTTGGATTCTAAATGTAATAATTATTTTAAAGTGGATCTTGTCTGCTAAATGTATAGCTTTTATTTCTATAACAAATTCTTACCTTAGAATTCCAACTTTTGTCAGTTTTGAAAATTAGTTTATTGTGGACTTGAGAGCATCTGTTCTTAATCTCGTGTTTTGCAAACACGTTTTAAGGGAAGACAGCATAAATCTGTGATAGTGAAAATCATTTGTACTTCCCCTCCCTCGCTTTTGCTTAAATATACAATTAACTTATAACCACCTCAGTGTGAAAGAATGGATGTTAAGTAGCTTAAGAGGTATTTATTAAGGGAAAATATTTTTATTGGCAGTTCCCTTAAGTCATATTTGTTTTGTAACTAAATAGTGCTTGCAACAGAATTATCTATCATAGGGAGGGAAAGCTCCAACTCTTGAAAACTTTTCAATACTTTTTCTATATTGGTAGTTAATGAGAATTCTTAAGATAGGAAATAGACTGGTTATGACTGGTAATATGATATTGCTAATGTAATACAAATTATGCTTTAAAAAAGCCAGGTGAGGAATTCAGGATTTGGAAGAATATGACATACATATACATTTAACTAAAGAAAGGAGATTTTCTTTAAAGAGAAGATGTGCAACCACAATCAATCCTGTAAGTTAGTCCTTAATCCTGTACTAGCCAGTTTTTAGTATTAAATGGTCTGATTTAACACAAATGAACTTTTGTCAATGGTTTTATTTAGAAATAGCATTACTTCCTACTTTTAAGGAGGATTTTAATAGCTAATAAAAATTCGTTGTTCTGATAAGAACTTGAAAGACATCCTTACTCCCATATAATTGAGTATTTTGCTCTTCATTCAACACCTCAGCCCTTTTGGTTTGCTTAAAAAATGATACAAATTTTGTGGGAGAATAAATATAACTTAAATATTGCTGTAAATGTGTTGTATAATCATATTTTAGCCTGGTATTATTGGTTCTTCTGTGTATGAAATACTTTTAAACATTCAAAATATTCAATTTAAAAGTTTCTGGATAGGTGAGTGGTAGAGATCCATCAGGTACTTACTTGGTTGTGGAATATTTGTGTTCTTGATGCCATGACATTTTAAAGTTGTATTAATCCCTTTATTTTTCTGTTTGAGATGATTCAGTTTGGGAGGTTTTATTATCAGATCTAACAGAAGAAACGTAAGTGTTGTACCACAGGTCATCTAATTTTCAAACCATGTTGGTTAGTTAAACTGACTTTGGTGTATAATTATGTACCCGGTAGTCAGAGGAGTTCAAGTCGATTGCAATTCAACTCTGTGATTGTGCCACCAGTTAGGTTAACATCAGCAGTGAAGGGCCTTCATTGTGTTAAATTTTTAAATTCCGTTAAGATTATTTAAACATAGAAGGAGATAGGTTTGTGAAGCAAATTTCTAAAGCAGTATTAAGCAAAGAGAATCTTTTCTTCCTCTTCTTTTAGATATATCACATACATGTGTATTTTGATTAAAAGGAAAAAAATTTAATGCTTATAGTATAATGCGCATACTTATTTCTTATTTTTAGAATTTATTAAAACTAATAAAATTTGTTTGGAAATCTCAAAAGATCTTTAGTAGTATACCTGCAACCTCAGCAGTCCCTTTTTATCCATACAGATTCTCTGCCTATTGTGGCCGTTTGCTCTAATTTAAATTTCCCATGGCTTTCGGTTGCAGACTTGGTTTTCTGCAAGAGTGCCCATGCTTACATGGTCATATATTCTTGGTGACTTTTCCACTTTTTCTTTTTTGTTATTTTGTTGATTGCTAAAGAAAAAGGGGAATTTTTTTTTTTAAATTTGTTTCTTTGTTTTGATCTTTCTTCCTTAGCCCATCTATTTGTGTGTTCTTTGTTTTGCAGATTGGAAAGAATTATTGTGTGGTACTTAGATCCATGGGGACTAGCAGGGGAAAACTAATTTTGTTCTTGGTTTTGTTTTCTTAATAACAGAAGCAATTTAATTTTTGAGCCATTGAGAAGCTGAAAAGATATGTTAGTGTTATGCATGAAATTGATGGGAAATTATTAATCCTGAAAATTTGTATTCATGGTCACTTTACTGTTGGAATAAAAATGTTATTTTATAGTGTAACCAAGTTAATACTAGAAATACTAATTAACAGTAAGTGGTACTGTTATAAATCTTTAATTTAAATATTATTGTATATTAAGTAGTTGTTTACAAGAAATCTGTTGTAATCTGATAATGTGATTTCTCTTACATTCAATTTTGTGGTCCACAGTGTGTATATATTCAAATAAGCATATGAACATGCCTTTGACGGTGGACACATTTTTACTTTGACCAGATCTTAAGAGTTTGCTTTTTCTTGGCAAAACTTGCATACTTTCAAATGTGAGGAATTTTGTTTTATAACATAACTTTGTACTGCTGAATTTAAGTCCTTGAAGTGCTATGGCAATTTAGTTATTGTTAGAAGTCAAAAGTAGAGGTCTCTGTTCCCAACATCTCCCCAAAATATTTTTTCATTAATATTCACAGGCTTTAAAATATCAAATTATTGTGATCAAAGCTACTTCTGTTTTACAGTTGTTTTGTGAGGCTGGTGTCATACAGTAACATTTAACTGAATTTTGTATTTGCTAAATTAACATAAAATAATAAAGAGATCCTTTTTACCATTTAAAAAATTCTAATAATTTCCTAATCAGGAAAAATGATGTTATGATATACTGTAAATAGGCTAAAAAAAACCTTGTAATGTTGATACATAGGGAAAAGAGTAATTTTGATAATTAATAATTTTAGATTTTTTTCCTTTGATTGTACCTCATGGTTGTGAGGTGTCTAAAATGCTCTTTCTGCATATCTGTTAAGGACTTTGGGAATTGGGGTAAGGGCAAGCCTTCTTTCTGTGTCTGTTAATTACAGGTTTTTTCTTGTGGATGTAGTGCTCTTAGAATATGAAACTGATTTATAGAATTTGTAATTACCAAGAAATAAATAGCATCATTGAATTTTGTTTTCTTTATTTTTGCTATTATTTTCTAGTTACTGTGCTTCACATTTTGATTTCTATCAAATGACTTCTCAAAAAGCAATTTCTTTTAAATCAGTGAGTTTCAAACTAAGAAGAAAATGTATCCTGATAGTCTAATTAGCTGTTGTTTGTCCATGCCAATTAAAATAATCTTTTGAATTTCTAGTCTTTGATTATAGTTATATAGGCTTCATGAGTTTGTAAAACTATTCCTCCTTTTAAAGTATTTTAAAAGGTGTATTGTAATTTTATAATTGATATTCATATGTAATTATTGAGAAACTTGAATAACCTAAAATATATTTCTAGTATTCAGCACATCAAATCAAGGTATAACCTGTGATATAAAAGTGGTCCAACAGAAGTATACAGCTTTAAAAATAACAAGGAATTAATTCTGTTAGCATGTTTTACTAGCAAATGTTCGTGGAAAATGTTATTAATTCTTAAAGCTCAGTGCCTGGGTTTTATTGTGTGTGGCCTTACTAGGAGAACACTGTAGAGCCGAACTTGAAATTTATTAAGGAAAGAAGAAACTGGTGAAGTGCTTTTATGCTGTTAAAAAAACTTCACAGACAATTGTCAGACAATTTTTTTTTTAAAGGTCATGATTGCTTGATGCCTTTTCCAGTCTTTATTTGAAACTCTCGTTTTGTAGGATTTCTTTTTTGTTCTTCCTCTTCCTTTTTTCTTTTGGCAGTGGGTGGAAGATTCTTTTAAAACTGAATGGCTAAACCTGTATGGTAACTATTGAAGTATGATCGAAATACTTTTATTCATGATTTTTTTAGGCCAAAAAATGCTATGAAGGTAAGCCAATGATGGTAAAATTACATTGTGTTGCGTGGAAACTGTTTTAGCTTTAGCGTTTTCTGTTCAGAAAAGTAGGCTCTGCATTAGAGTTTTAAATTGGGATTTGTTTGTGAAATATTTTGTAATTCTCATATTGCTGATTGCCTTTATGTCTCGGTGTTCTAGTAGATAGTTCGTAGTTCCTGAAAAATAATATTCTGTGTATGAAAGAAAATAGGAGGTGAGAACAGAATGAGAATTGGGAAAGAAAACCCCCTACCCAAAATGCCGCCACCTAACAGGTGGAAATATCTATGCCATTACAGATTTTCAAAACGTAGAGTGCTTGAACTCTTTTTTTCTAAGAGATTACTTCAAATTTGACAGATTTCACAAAATTTTGTTATGATAAATATTAAAATTTTAACTCTTATTTTTATCCTAAATTTAAGCCCTTACAAATTAAGAAAAGAGTGCCTCGAGGCTGATTGCTAATGTTCAATTAAGTTATGTGTTCAGTGAAGTAATTTTTTGATTATGATATTTTGATTTTATTAATATGTAAACTAAAAATTATAAAAGGATTATGAGTACAGAAATTAAATTATGTGAAATTAATTTTGATATTTTGCGGCAGACAGTTTAGAATTAAAATATCCTTGGTGTGTAATAATTTTATTTCTTGTAAGGACATCTGTTGGCTTTCAGTATTCAGAAAATTTAGACTTTTTAATTTTAAATGTTGACGTAAATTAACGGGAGCCATACTTTAAATTGAAAGAACTTAAGGGAAATACATAAAATATGCTAGTGATTGGCTTACTTACATTTTCAGTGATTAGACTTTGTGAAATAAGAGTAAGGCCTAGCATTTTATTTTATTTAAGAAAATATACTTAATTTAAAAGTACTAATACAAGAATGAGAGAAATCTGGTCAAGTATAGTAAATCCATATCCATAATTATTTTCAATCACTAGTTACAGAGGAAGGTGTGAATGCTAATATCTTCTTTGTTGAAAATCATAAGTTGTATTTTGAAAAGGGATGAAAGGGAACAAGTAACTGCTTTCAGGCAGATTTATATCATCCTAACATCATATGTTATTTGTGGGTTCATGTCACAAAAGCTTGCAAAACTTCACAAAATAATTTAATGTATTTTAATTTAGTAAGCTTGCTGAAAACTCTTTTGTGATAAATCTAGAAAAATTTATACATGATATTTTTCTTTTTTAAAGTTTAGTGATCCATCTTGGTACTTTGTCTCAATTTCAGTCTTGTTGATTTAGATAATATTCTTATTGTTTTATAAATTTCCTTTCAGGAATGTGTTACTGCCTTGATACGTTCTCACCTTTCCAGTTATATATGATCCATCTATGACATTCTATCATCCAGGTGTTACTATTTTATTGTTCTTTCTTGTACTTTTGTTGTAAGGTACAGACTTCAAGTCTAAAGTAAGAGCTAGTGTATATTACAGTGTATATGACCATTTCTAATTTGACCTGTTACTGTAAAGAAGGCTAACAAGTGTGTATGCCTAGCCCACCCCTTCTGGAGCAGTTGAAAACAGGCCTCAGAAGACTCAAAGGAATTCTTTTAACTCCTAGCAGGGCCACGGGGTCAATGTCAGATTTAGTCATGCTGTTATTTTAGCCCAGTGGTCCAGAGAGATGACTGAAAAGTGAGTCTTTCATTTCTTTTTTTGTGTGGTTATTAACAGGATTAAATGTAAGCCATTGTGTACTTAGTACCAATTAGTTTCTCATCTGAGAGGTTCATTATGATTTTTTGTCAGCCTTCGTCTTGTAATATTTGTTTCTTTGTTTGATTAGTTAAGGGGCTGAATGGGCTAAAGGGAAGTTTTAACAGCAGTACTTTTAAATTCATTAAGAATTTTAATAGTCAACTTTTCAAATATGTAGACCTTGATTAAAAAAGGGACCATGTTGAAAATTGGCAAAATTAAGTAAATTGTTTAAAATTTTCCTTTTCCTGTTGTATTTTTTTAATCTGAAAAACAGACTGTCTTTATTATATCAAATAATACTTTTATGTTTCTAGAAGTCTACTTCAGATTCTTGTACATACTTCTTAAGATTGTATTTAGTTTGCTGTGAATATGTAATTATCGTTCAGAAGGGGCACATACCAAAAAGCTCCAAAATTAAAAAACCTTTTCAGTTTCTAGGATAGAAACATAGATTGAGCTATTAAAAGCAGAACATTAGAGTTCTGGGATAAAGATAGTTGTCAGGTGTAAACAAGCCTTAATTGAAAAGGAGGCAGCCTAAAAGTTGATTCTTTATGCTATTATAAATAAGTAAAAATGCAAACTTGCTTGAGTTCAGAAAATAGGAGCATACCCAACTTTTAAAACTACTTATTAGATTGGTAGTTGCTTTAGATCCTTAACTTAAAAAAATTCTTATTAAAATCAGTGTTCAATTGAGTAATATTCCTCGTTTAATAGATTGAGATGCCTCAGTTAAATTTTGAACAAAAATTGTTCCTATAAATTGAATTGGAGATGCTGATCTGTTAAAAGCAAGGAATATAACCCAAAATTAAAATAGGAATTATTTTGCTAGTGGATAATTATCTTGGACAGTAGGTCTTATATCTTGTTGAAGTGTGTAGAACACACATTTTCACATTCATTCATCTTTAAGTGAATATACCTGTAGGCTGATTCAGACTTGGTATTTTATTTATTTTAAACATTAGAAATGATAAATACTAATTTAAGCAAGTGCGATTACTATTTTAACTCATTCTTCGAGAGTTGCTTCATTTATCTCAGAGTTTTTGGTGTACCTTATTTACCTTATTTAGATTATATCATTGTATTAAGTCCTTTGCTTACTGCTGTAGTTTTTTGGTACCTAGAATAATTTATTATGGAATTGAATATTAAAAATTTGACGATCCCAATAGTTATGAAGCTTACAGATTCTGTATGTAGGCTTTTTTCCTCCTTTGGTTTCAGGCATAATGAATGGATGGCCCTTGCTTTCTGATATTTGTGTATCCAATTTTCTGAGGAAACACTTTTCTACAAAGTCTGCATGTTTGATTGTTCTACATTTTTCTTTCATTATAATTTGAAAAGGACTTAGATCCTCCAAATGAAAAATGGCTGTCTTGGCCATATGGTAAATTAGGCCTGCTTTATTATTGTCTAATAATTAAGCCTCCCTTTACTTATCCCACCCTCGTTTTAAAAACTAAAAACGTGTGGTAGCTGTATTAGTTAGAACATTTTCAAGTAACAGGAAGTAATTCAGTGGTAACTTCCTCATGTGGTTTACTGTTTATCAAAAAGGAAAGTAGTTTCTTTTGAGAGAATAATGCAGTTTTTGCTGCTCAACATTTTCTCAAGCTCTTTGGAAAATAAGAGAGAAGTCTTTAATGTGCTTGTAATATGATAAGGACAGATTTAAAAATTTTGTTTCTCTTCTCATTACTTGGTGTTTGACTTCAGTGGAAGCTGAAAGAAGTAAATAGATGTTAAGTTGAAAATCTGCCTCAGTGTCAGATGCTCATATAATTTAAATAATTTAAAATTTGTGGGTACTTATATTGATTGACCTTATATTTTAAAAACATAGGGAATAACATCAACTATTTGTATCTTCTCTCTTAACTTAAAGTTGAATTAATTAACTTTAGCTATCTAATAGAGTAGGTCCAGAAATTAACATTCAAATAACAGTAGTAAGTATAGGTGAAGACCAGGCTATCCCAAAGATAATTCATTAGGACTTCTGTTTCTATAGTATCTTTCATATGATAGTAACTGTTGTAAACAATTGAATTATATATATCAATTTAATAAATAATTGCAATATTAAAAAGTTAGCCCCGATAATTTCTACCCAAACACCTCCAAATTATGCTACTTCAAAAACAGTTGAAGGGAAGTTTAGGAATATAATATAGTTTCATTTTAAGACCACTAGGATAATAGACATTGTAATGTAATGGAAAAACATTTTGTCCCATAAAAACCACTTTCATTTAATGCTTTGTTTTTCTGTCTAACCAGGTAATACCTAGCAAATACAGAAAGAGAGATAAAGCAAGCAAGCTGTTTTGAAAGTGTCTAATATTGGCTGATGTAGAGCTATAGGTGGGTGTATCTTATTATTCCATAAAATTAAAAATAAGAGTGGGGGGAAAAAACAAATCCCAAGAAAATAAATGGAAGGTGAGTGAAGAGTGAATAGAATAAAAATAGAGATCTAGTATTTCAGTCAGTCTGCTAGTTAAATTTTATATTCAGAGCTTTAACATTTTGGGCTTTTAAATTTCCTGCAGTGCACATGACTTTCTTTCATAAAAGATATGTCAATCATATTAGGAATAAAAGTAATAGCTCATATAGTGCTTTATTATTAGCATCTAAGAAACCACTGGTATTTGAGTAAATTGTAAGTTAGAATTGATTTTTTAATAGCTTTTTAATGCAGATCAAACATTTGTGGCTTTTGAATGAAAAATACTTATCAACTAATTTTTATTAGCATTGCATTTTTAAAAAAATCTACATTATAACATATTGGAGGTTGATTGAAAGGGAGTTTTTGCCTCCATTTTATAAAGATGCTCTGTAAGAGCACTGGTGATAATGATGTCTATTCCTGTATTTTTTGCTGACTTTTACCTGGTATCCTGTCAGTAATTGTTTTTTCATGTTGAGGAAGAAAAAAGAATCTATACTTGCATCTGTCAGTATTATTGTTGTTTTAACTTTATAGGTATATTGTAGACATTGAATTGAAAGATTTGTAAGCTTTTGGTTTTCTGTGATACTGATTGGGAACAAAGGCATAGATAATCAGAGACAGCAAATAATAGCCAAAAATATATATTTGATATGTATTCATTTAGCCAACAATAACTAGGGCCTTTTGTGAATCACTGTGCAAGATGTGCTGGTACTTACAAAGATGAATCAGGTATAGACCCTGACCCCACGGATCCTATGGCTTAATAGAAGAGGTAAGAGGTGAGTGGCATAATAGAGTCATGGGGTGCAGGAGAGGAAAGATACTGCTTTCATGAGGGGTAGAGGTGTGTGTCAGGGGAGATAAGGATATATCATGTTTAGAGGAACAACAGACTTTTAAAATTCTATTTTGAATTAGGTCGGTTTTTCTTAGACTGAGTTCCTCATTCTCCTAGGGTCCATTTGTAGGGAAAGGTTTTTTAGTTCTTAAATTATTTCTTAAATTTGTATTTTTATTTTGATGTTAAAAAGTGATCGTACCTGTTATAAAGGTAACACTTTGCAGTGATAACTCATAGATGAAAGACATTTGTTATAGGATGAGACTTCAGTTTCTTAAGTCAGTGTTTCTCATTGGGATTTTTGGACAGATATGATGTTCAAGAGAACTTTTTTTTTAAGGGGTTTATATATTTTCTAAGTTTGAGAAACAAAGGCTTAGGCTCATTTCATGTTACTTTGCACTGTCTAAACTACATTCTAATTGGTGGCAGAAAGTAGGTGGCCTAGAAATGTAAGTAGCAAATTTTTTTCAGGAGGTAAGGCAATTCAGCAAGGTAGTGGAGAGTTCACTGTCAGTTACCACTATTTAGGAGTTAAGTTGGTGGCAGTGCTGCTGAATGGGCACAGTTTGTTTGATTTTAAATGGTAATGAACTGTGAGTTTATTAAATAGAGGGTAAAAGTTCTAAATACATTCTGAACATAAACTAGACCCGTTAAAGTGGTTTGTGTTACAACCTACTCTATAGTGTCCTATACAGTAGTCAAAGCTTTTGTGTAATTGATTACTTCTGTGGTCCCAATGTTAATTTCTGCTTATAGTTTTGTAATAGCTTAATTTCATTAAAGTTAATTAAACATAGATTATCTTGTACAGTATGGTATAGAATTTTGTTCCATAAATTGGGAGAAACTCATAAGGAATAAATAAGTACTCTTTAATTTATAGTTCGGTGTTTCCAAAGAAATTTGGGCTTCACATTGGGTGAATTCATCACGATAGATTTAAGAATATCTGTATTGAATATCCCAAACATTGTACACTTTTGGGGGAACATCACTGAACAATATTTTCCTTTCCCACTTATTTTTTTTTAGCAGAAAAAAATACCCCCCTGTCCCCAACAAACAAAACTGATCAAAGTAAGAATTAGATCATGGCTTTCAATTCCTTAGACATTTTTTGAAGTCTCTCCAGGCTTTTAAGATGAGGAATTCCTAGGAATTACTATTCTTACTGGGGAAAAAGACTATTTTGATTACAGAGAGAAAATTAGGTGACATTTGCTCACATTATACATAGAATAGAATGATTCTAGTTCATCTGTAGATTCTTATTATAGTGTTTCGCATGTAATATATGCTACTTTAGGATAATATTTTATTACTGTTTGAGGTTCTTAATAGTTCATGTGTCAGCTTGCCTTTATATAAAAGTCTATGTAAGTTGCTTTGACAGACTTTAAATAAAAATGGGAAACACATAAATGCAGTGTTGCCATGTTCTCTTTTGTTTTGAGCAATTACAAGCATTTCTCATTTCCTGTGCACAGAAATTCCCTGAAAAATCAAGACGCTGCTAAAAGAGTCAAACTCTGAAAGAAATCCCAAAGATACATCACTGCTTGACGCAAACATTTTTAAGAAGTCACTGATTATAATGAACACAGCCTTTAATGGCAGTTTTTCATCTCCTTTTCACAAGAATGTGACAGAGTGTCATTAAGGTTTTAGAAATGAATGCTCCTAAGGAAAGGAGGATCACTAGGACTACAATGATGCTCAGTATGTGGCCATGGGATTCTCTGTTGGGCTCTTTTTAGGTTTTTAATCAGGTTGGAGAAGGGAGTTAGAGAGGAAAGGAATAGGAACAGACAAGAGCTTTAGGACACCTGTACACCACAGTATTTTACTTTCTCATTGATCTTCTAGATGTTGAATCCGTAAGGTTTAATATAGAAAGTCAAACAAGGTTCCAAATATTTTGAGGACCAGTAAACAAAATCAGCTCTAACTATATATATGTGGAAGCACATAATTTTTGCATTTAACTTAAAGTGTTTGGATATATTAAATCTGAAATTTCATTTAAATAGTAATTCCAGTTCTGCTCTAAGGATATTGTTTTAACCCATTGTTCTTTTCTATGGTGACAGTGATTGCCCTTGATGTATTCTGCAGGTCAGTCAGATTGTATCACAGAAGAGGGCACATAATAAATGTGAGCCAGAAACAGCTATGTCTCAGTACAGGAACAGAAAAGCATATTTTTGCATCACACATTAAAATAACACCCAGAAGGCATTGCATCACATATAAATGTAAATCTTTTCTAGAGGGGTGTAGCATGGAAAGAAGGGTTCAGCCAAAATGTCCTCTTAAGTTTTTTAACAATAACAAACACTATAAAGCTCATATTTAATGAGTAATAATTAATGTCTATGAAGTTTGTTTTATGAGTTTTTAAAATTACAGAATATTGTAATAAATAATGTAAAATATTACAAAATATGCTGTGCTTGAGAAGATATTTTTCCAGGTTAGAAAGTTACAGTTTTTCTGAGCAGGTGTTTTCTGTGAATCTCTGTAGCATTGGAATTTATAGAGATATAACTTTTCTATTTCTGTGGGGTTTTTTTGTTTTTTTTTTTTTTTTGAGACGGAGTCTTGCTCTGTTGCTCTGGCTGGAGTGCAGTGGAGCCATCTCAGCTCACTGCAAGCTCCGCCTCCCGGGTTTACGCCATTCTCCTGCCTAAGCCTCCCGAGTAGCTGGGACTACAGGCGCCTGCCACCACGCCCGGCTAATTTTTTTTGTATTTTTAGCAGAGACGGGGTTTCACCGTGTTAGCCAGGATAGTCTCGATCTCCTGACCTCGTGATCCACCCGCCTCGGCCTCCCAAAGTGCTGGGATTACAGGCGTGAGCCACCGTGCCCGACCGATTTATCTATTTCTTTTTTCCATTTGAAGTCAGAAAGAAATTGCTAGAATCCTTCAAGTCTTTCTCAGTGAGAGTAAACCTTTTCTGTATATAAAACGATCATTCTGTATACTTCATTTTACTTTGAGTTTTTTAGACATTAAAGCTGACACTGGAAAGGGTAGCTTTTATTTTACTTTTTGACTTAGCTACTTAGGTTGTATGAACAATTATAAAATCATCTTCATATGTTAAATCTGTAACAAATTCTTTTTCTGGCTGGGTGTGGTGGCTCACGCCTGTAATTCCAGCACTTTGGGAGCCTGAGGCAGGTGGATCACCTGAGGTCAGGAGCTTGAGACCAGCCTGGCAAACATGGTGAAACCCTGTTTCTACTAAAAATACAAAAATTAGCCTGACGTGGTGGTGCACACCTGTAATCTCAGCTACTTGGGAGCCTGGGGCAGGAGAATCACTTGAACCTGGGAGGCGGAGGTTGCAGTGAGCCGAGATTGTGCCACTGCACTCCAGCCTGGACAACAGGGTGAGACTCCATCTCAAAGAAAAAAAAAATCTTTTTTCTTCGACTCTAAGATGATGTTGAGGCTTTTTTGAGCTCTGAATGTAAACTTAGATCCTGTGGGTTGTTTCTTAGTATACTTTCTGGTAGCTCAGTGCTACATTAGCAGTTCTTTATTTTGGCATTGTATTTCCTCACACAAAGTAAAAAGTCTCATAAATCTTCCTCCTTTTAAAAAAATGAATTGAGACCAACAGTTTTCTAATCTGATCTGGCAACCTGGGCTTCAGTAAGGGCAGACTAACAGTAATGGTAGTATGTAGTAGAAAGAGATTGAAAGAATTTCTCTCCCTGGAGTGCTCTAAAGAAAGATTTCCAAATAGCTATAGAAAATTAAATAACTTGCTTTGAATTAGGTAGGAAAATAAACTTGAACTTCCCCCTTTCTTCATTTGTGTTTTGTTTGCTGTTTTTTGTTTTTTTTTTTAATTTTAGAAAAATTGGTTTACAGAAAAATTGCAAAGATAGTGCAGGGAGTTGTCATGTGCCCTGTATTCAGTTTTTCCCATTAGTAGCATCTTATATTAATTGGCTACATTTGTCAAAATTAATGCATCAATATTAACGACTTATTAACTAAAGTCCATACATTATTCAGATTTCTTTAGTTTTTACCTAATGTTCTTTTTCTTTTCTAGGATCCTGTTCAGGACACCACATTACATTTAGTTGTCATGTCTCCTTAGGCTTCTCTTGGCTGTGGCAGTTTCTCAGACTTTCCTTTTTTTTGATGACCATGTCAGTTTTGAGGAATGTTAGGTATTTTATAGAATGTCCCCAAATTAGGATTTGTTTGATGTTTTTATTATCATTAGACTGCATGTATGGGTTTTGGGAGGAAGACAGAAATAAAGTAGCATTCTTATCACATCAAGTATAAAATGCTATCAGCATGATTTGTCATTGATGTTAGCCTTGATTACCTTGCTGAGGTCGTGTTTGTCTGGTTTCTCTACTGTGAAGGTATTCTTTTTTCCCCCCTTCTTCCCAAACAGTATTCTTTGGAAGGAAGTCACTATACACAGCCCATACTTAAGGAAGAGAGTGTTATGCTCTACCTTCTTGAGGGTGAAATATCTATAAAAATTATTTGGAATTCTTCCTATGGGTGATTTGTCTGTTCTTGCCCATTCATTCATTCTTATTTGTATCAACTTGTGGATATTTACTTTACATTTTGGGTTATAATTTAATAGTACTTTATTGTGTTGCTTAAATTGTTCTAGCTTTGACCTTTGGGAGTGCTTTCAGTTGGCTCCTATGTTTCTTTAATATACTCCTATCTTTTTTCCTTAATTTTATTTTTTAAAATTTTATTTTTATTTACTATTATTATTGATTGATTGATTGATTGATTGATTTAGAGATGGAGTCTTGCTCTTTTGCCCAGGCTGGAGTGCACTGGTGTGATCTCGGTTCACTGCAACCTCCGCCTCCCAGGTTCAAGCAATTCTCCTGCCTCAGCCTCCCAAGTAGCTGGGATCATAGGTGCCCGCCACCATGCCTGGCTAATTTTGGTATTTTTAGTAGACACAGGGTTTCACCATGTTGGCCAGGCTGGTCTCGAACTCCCAACCTCAGGTGATCCGCCAGTCTCAGCCTACCAAAGTGCTGGGATTACAGGTGTGAGCCACCACACCCTGCCTGTTGTTATTATTTGTGGTTATTTTTTAGGGTCAGGGTTCACTCTGTTTCCCAGGCTGGTCTCGAACTCCTAAGCTCAAGTGATTCTCCTGCCTCGGCCTCCCAAAATGTTGGGATTAAGGTATGAGCCACTGCACCTGGCCTTTCTTTCTTTCTTTCTTTTTTTTTTAAACATCAGATAGTGGAGCAATAATATTGGTCATCAGTGTTTCTTTTCTTTTTTAAAGCACTTCGTTACTTCCTGGCACTGCAAGATGCTACCGCTCATCTTGTTTCTTTCTTTCCCCAGACCTAGAATCAGCTATTTCTGAAAGGAGTCCTGGTTTCTTTAATTGGAGAATGATATTAGAAACCAAAATCTGGGTGCTCAGTGTTTGTCTTAATATAGTTTGACTCAATGGATTGAGTCAAATCATAGGTAATTTTTGTTTGCTTTTGGAGACAAGGTCTTGCTCTGTCATCCAGGCTAGAGTGCAGTGGTACAATCACGGTTCATTGCAGCCTCAATCTTCAAGTTCTAAGTGATCCTCACACCTCAGCCTCCCAAGTAGATGAGACCACAGGCATGCACCATCATGCCCAACTAATTTTTTGATTTTTTGTAGAGATGAGGTCTCACTCTGTTGCCCAGGCTGGTCTAGAACTCCTGGCCTCAAGTGTCCTCCCGCCTCAGCCTCCCAAAGTAGCTGGAATTACAGGATGAGCCACTCCGCCTGGCTCTTTGGGGATCTTGATTACTCTTGAGAGTGGAGGGGTGTCAACTCTTCTTTCCTTCTTTATTACCTGTAATGAAAATAACAGTGCTTACCTTGGGGTTTGTGAGTATGAAATGAAATAATGCATGTGATGAACTTAACCACCATCTTGCATTGACTGTATTATTGCTAACCCATTTTGAGAGATGAACTGTTTGAATATCAAGGTGTCATGTAGGCAAGAATATTGTATAAATATAAGCTTGTTTAGAATTCTGTGTCATTAATTGCATTTACTCTATCAGTTAATTAGAGATTCTTTTTTGTTGGCTTTTTTTGAGACAGTGTCACTTCGTCACCTAGGTTGGAGTGCAGGGGTGCCATCACAGCTCACTATAGCCCCGACCTCCTGGGCTTAAGAAATCCTCTCACCTTATCCCCCAAGAGGCTGGGACTAAGGGTGCACACCACCATGCCTGGGTGATTTTTCTGTTTTTTGTTTTTTTTTTAAATAGGGACGAGGTTTTGCCATGTTGCCCAGGCTTGTCTTGAACTCCTAGGCTCAAGCCATCTATCTGCCTCTGCCTCCCCAATGCTGGGATTACAGGTGTGAGCCACTGCACCCGGTCGTTAATTAGAGAGTCCTGATCTCAGTTGGATTGTTTAAAAGTGAAAGTGAATGATGATAATATTTAGTAAAATCATCTTAATGCATTTTGACTTTTAACTTCTTCAGATTTTTATTAAAGTATAGAGAATTTAGATGTTTTAGAAAATCAGTGCAATATGTTTGGATTTTGGAAAACATGAAATTTACATAATTTGAAGACAAACCTCATTGCATTTAATATTCTGTTTCCACATTTGTGGGTGTTCTGGCTACACTGGTTATTGGAAGACATTTAAAGATGGCGGGCGGGGTGTAGTGGCTCACACCTGTAATCCCAGCACTTTGGGAGGCCAAGGCGGGCGGATCATGAGGTCAGGAGATCGAGACCATCCTGGCTAACACAGTGAAACCCTGTCTCTACTAAAAATACAAAAAAATTAGCCGGGCGTGGTGGTGGGCGCACGTAGTCCCGGCTACTCGGGAGGCTGAGGCGGGAGAATGGTGTGAACCCGGGAGGCAGAGGTTTCAGTGAGCCACCACTGCACTCCATCCAGCCTGGTGACAGAGCGAGACTCCGTCTCAAAAAAAAAAAACGGCAATTAAGATGACATTTAAATAATTCACTTAGTAATAACCAAGTCAACCAAATTGATATTATTAATATGTAGTAGTTGTGCTTTTAATATTACATTTGACAATAATTTTTTAATTAAATATATTCTAGTAAATGGTTTTGAATTCTAATTCTTTCTTTAAAATAATTCTTTCATATAAATACTTTTACATTTAAGTCCAGTGATTAGATATCTCATGCTGTTGACTAAGAACATTCAATCTTCGTAAACTGGCCATTGGTGTTCTGAGAAATTGAATCTTACAGAGTTCTTTAATTTTGAAAGTTTCTTGTTCTCAGATAATAGCCTTGTAAATGTCTCCAAATTTCAGAGTCCTATTCATCTTACCTAAAATACACTAAGCCTTTGTTCTCTTTAAGTAGTACAGATATCTTAGCAGCCGGTAATGGTTAAGGGTGTGAGTACAAGGAACATTCTGTTTTGGCCCTCTCTGTTGTGCATTGTAGATGCCTCATCACTTCATAAATATTTATTGAGTGTTTTTCTTGTTAAGCACTAGATAAACCTACAAAGGTAAATAAGACTAGAGTTCCTGACCTGTCAAGGATATCACCACCTGGTCTACCATCCATCTGTAGCAAAGTGACCCCAGCGTTCCTATGCTTACACTCTCCTTTTTGGCAGCTTGGCCATGTTAGTTCATGTGTGTTAGCTGTTATTTTTTATTTTTGCTTTTGCCAAAAATCTCAGTAAGCTAAACATTGGGATCAGATAGGTTTCATTCTTAGATTTCTTGATAGATTTCTTTGGTTTAAGTTATGGTTTGAGTTTGTTTCCCTTTTTCGTTAGTAAGGCCACATTTTTGTGAACATTTATTTGAATTAAATTTCTGTTTTCTTTGATTTAAGCCATTTTCATGAATTTTCTCCAGATGCGTGAATTGACATTAGATATCACATTTCTTTTTTAATGGCCATTATGGTTTAATATGTTGCTATTAAAAGGTTGTTTTAGCTGTTTTTCAACTCGTTTCATGATCTATGTGTAAGTTCCCAAAGGGAGAGATCATATTTTATCTTTTCCCGTAAACGCCACAGCATATAATAGAGTGCCCTGTATATGGCGGTTGTCAGTAAATGTTTGACTGGATTCTCTGAATGGAGTAAAACGGTTTTTAAATTCTTTTCATAGCAGGATAGCCCAAATGGCTATAAAAGAGGTCAAAAATTCTTTGTATAAATGTTTTTGACTTTTGGCTGAAACTATTAAATTCTTTATAAAATAAATCATCGTTAAAAAGATACCCACATTTATGTTATAAGCCAAACTCTGTTATTCTGGTAACTGAAAGTTTGTGAGCTTTTTAGATGGTTAATGGGAATGTTCAGATAGATACGACTTTGTCATCTATTGTCTCTGCATTTGTTAAAATAGTAATGCTATCACTTTCTTTAGCCTCTAAGTTAGTTGATATTTATTTACCCTTGTTACCAATGTTCTTATGTTAAAACATTCATTCATTCAATATTAACACCTTATTGTAGCTAGGTATTTTAATAAGTAAATTAACTTCCTGATGCAAGGAGTTGGTAGCATAGTACAGTGTAGTGTTTCACAAATATAACCTGTTGATCCTATAAGGTCAAAACTATTTTCATCATAGTAAGATGTGGTTTTCTGTTATCATTGTTTTAGTGTTTGTACTGATAATGTGGAAGCAAACACCAAAACAATGAAAACAGAAAACCACATGATGGGTAAAACTGCTGATGCCTCAGCATGAATCAGTGCTGTGACACCAGTCTGTACTAGTAGTCATTGTATTCTTCACCATCACAAACTTAGTTGAAAAAAAAAAAAAAAGGCGGCCGGGTGCTGTGGCTCAGTCCTGTAGTGCCAGCACATGGGAAGATAAGGAGGGAGGATGACTTGAGCCCAGGCGTTTGAAACTAGCCTGGGCAACGTAATGAGACCCTGTCTCTAAAAAAAGAAAATTATCCAGGTGTGGTGCTTGCCTGTAGTCCCAGCTACTTGGGGAAACTGAGGCAGGCAGATTCCCTTGAGCCCAGGAGGTCAAGGCTATAGTGAGCCATGATTGTGCCACTGCACTGCAGCCTGGGTGACAGAGTGAGACCTTGTCTCAAAAAAAAGAAGTTAACCTACAGAATGAGAGAAAATATTTATAACCCACGTATCTGATAGGGGACTAATATCTAAAATGTATAAGGAACTCATAATACATATTTGTAGCAAACCAAGTAACCCAATTAAAAAATGGGGTAATGGACCTGAACAGGCATTTTTCCAAAGGCATACAAATAACTAACAGATATGTGAAAAGGTGCTCAATATCACTTTTCAGGGAAATGCAAATCAAACCACAATGAGGTATCACCTCACACCTGTTGTTAGAATGGCTATTATCAAAAAGTAAAATGATAACAAATAGTGGTGAAGATGTGGAGATTGGGAACCTGTGTACACTGTTGGTGGGATTGCAAATTGCTATAGCTGTTACAGGAAACAGTATGGAGGTTCCTCAAAAAACTAAAACTAGAACTACTGTCTGATCCAGCAGTTCTGCTTCTGCCTGTATATTCAAAGGAAATGCAACTACTGTCTTGAGGAGATATTTGCACTGCCATGTTACGTTAGAGTATATACAGAATATACTTGGTAAGGATGTACTTCAACTGGTTGAAGCAGAAGTGAATGGGTGAACTTGAGTGTGGCCTGCCACTCTTGATTATTTAATATCCTGTAGCATCGGTATGTTTTATAAAACAAATTGAGAGCATTAGTCATTTTTAGTCAGTGGGTTATGTAGAGATTTGTTAAGAGAGCATTTATTGTGACAGTTTGAGTCTGTACAACATCCTTGCTTAGAAACCAATTAAAATGCCTCAAGGAATGGATACGTATGTAGTTACTTCTTCCCTTTCTAGATCCCAAATGTTAAAGGGTATTATATAGACCCAAGGAAGTTGTTTGGTTTTAAGCACTTAGCCCCATGTTGAACAACGACTCTAGGCAGACATACTTGATGAGTGAAGCAAAAGGAGGAAAAGCAAAAGTCAAAAATGGATTTTGATTATGGGTAGTGATCAAGGAATGGATGATGTGGGAACAGTGTGTAAGGAGTATCTGGAGGGAACATGAAGGGGAGTAATTGTGTCAGACAAGTTTGAGAGAGTCATTTATATGACATTTCCCCCTTGAGATTTTCCCTTTTATCTTGAATTTTGTATTACTGAAGATAATAAATGCATATATTTAGCTAATGTGAAACAAGTGTTTTCTCTGGTGGATTGACTTTTTTTTTTAACAAAGATATGTGTATTATATATAAAATTAATGTGGTAACCTTTTCATCTTATTCTCCTTAGAATCCATCAGTAGAAGAATTATTTTGTACACTATGTGTGAAAGATCAAAGAATATGGGGCAGTCACCAGTTGTTTACAACCTGGTTTGCAAGTGGCATAAAAAAATATTAGTTTGTCTGCTGAATAAAATTAAACTTATTTTTCTCTCTGTAGCATATTAATTGTATTATAGTATGCCACAGCCACTTCCAGTGCAATCCTCCTAGTCTTGGAACAGCAGCCAATTCCAGGAATTAAGAGAATTAGGTTACTTTGCCTAGTGGCACAAAAAATACCAAGGTATTAAATCATTGGCTTGTCTGTTTGGGGCACAATCAGAAATAAAGTTTAGAGATAAAAGTTGATTTGCATGCTGTTCACATTTGTTCATACTTTAACAGGTATGTTTTTCTATTTCTCTCCGATTTATATAATCCTTTTGAAACAGATTTTCAGTTGCTGTTAGGTCCAGAGGAACAGAATGTTAATAAAATTTTAGGTTAAAGACTAAATTCAGAATTCAACTACAGTAACTTGATGCTACTGGCTGTGACAACATTTTAATCTATCTTTGGAATATTTAAGCAAATATTAAAATATGTGGTTACCTAACATGGCTATATATTAAAATATAAATGTTATATTACCCTGTAACATTTTAAATGATTTACTAATCTATTATGTAAAGTAATATAAGAAGCCAGTTTAGTGGTAGAAATGTTAATTTTATTTTAACTTTAGTATTTCAAAACAAAGATGTTATTTTTGAACTCAAAGTGGTAGAAGCAGAGAGGAGGTGACAAACTGAGAACCTTTTGATTTTGTTGGGGTGGAACTTGGTCTGCTGTTATAGCTGACATTATTACTGTATCTCAATGATTTTTGAGATTTTGGGAAAATTGTTTTAATGTTTCACTCCCAAGCGCTGAAGATACTCCAGAAATCTTTGCCGTTCTGTTCCTATAACATTTGCTCTTCCATTTTGAAGCTACAACAGTGTAGGATATTTTCAGCTTTCTAGAATTCCTGTAGAACCTCTGTATTCTAAAATCTCCCAGGATTAAGGAGGAGAAAAATAAGCAGAAAGACATCAGAAAAACTAATCAGTCATTAGGTTCTCTGGCAAGTGAAAAATGGAATAAAGATAAAGAATGTAGTGGTTAATCAAGAGTAACCTGTTTATAACATAGACTAGGCTCAAAACTTAAACTTGAAACTTAACACAATAAATTAAACCATCTTTGTAAACAGTAGAATTTAAAGAGATTCCCTTAAACATTAAACATTAGGACCTTCTGTGGTGTCACCTTATTCAAACTACCACTGTGTTACCTCTTTTTGACTCTTAAGGCTGCCAGACACCCTACTTGAAGGATCCTGTTGGAACCTGTGGAAATAATACTTACAAGAACGTTGCAGCTAAGCTGGTCCGGGTGCAGTGGTGTTACAACTAATGGATCACAACCAGTCACGGATTTCTTTGTTCCATCTCCATTCCCACTTCTTCACTTGACTAGCCTTAAAAAGGCTCATGCCTGTAATCCCAGCACTAAGGGAGGCTCAGACAGAAGGATCATTTGAGCCCAGGAGTTTGAGATCAGCCCAGGCAACATAGCGAGACTTCATCTCTACTAAAAATAAAATAAAAAAATTAGCCAGGCGTGGTGGGGTGTGCCTGTATTCCCAGCTACTTGGGAGGCTGAGGCAGGAGAGTCACTTGAGTAATAATGGGGTTTGAGGCTGCATTAAGCTAGGATTGCACCATGGCACTCAAGCCTGGGCAACAGAGTGAGACCCTGTCTCAAAAATAATAATGTTGCAGCTAAAAGGTCCTAAAGCATTATGTGGGCCAGAATATCCCAAATCTAGTTGTATGTCACATTTAACATGGGCTGGGGGCAGTGGCTCACGCCTATAATCCCAGCACTTTGGGAGGCGAGGCAGGTGGATCACTTGAGGTCAGGAGTTCAAGACCAGCCCGGCCAATGTGTTGAAACCCCGTCTGTACTCAAAATACAAAAATTAGCCGGGTGTAGTAGCTGGTGCCGGTAATCCCAACTACTCGGGAGGCTGAGGAAGGAGAATTGCTTGAACCTGGGAGGCCGAGGTTGCAGTGAACCGAGATCGTGCCATTGCACTCTATCCTAGGCGACAAGAGCGAAACTCCATCTCAAAAAAAACCAAAAAACTGTATGTTCTTAATCTCTACCACAGATGTATGCAGGTGGGGCTCAATAATTTTTTTTTTTTTTTAGATGGAGTCTTGGCTCTGTTGCCCAGGCTGGAGTACAGTGGCACGATCTCAGCTCACTGCACTCTCCACCTCCTGGGTTCAAGCAGTTCTCTTATCTCAGCCTCCCGAGTAGCTGGGATTACAGGCACAGGCCACCACAACTGGCTAATTTTTGTATTTTTAGTGGAGACAGGGTTTCATTATGTTGGCCAGACTGGTCTTGAACTCCTGACCTCAAGTGATCCACCTGCCTCGCCTTCCAAAGTGCTGGGATTACAGGCATGAACCACCATGCCTGGCCAAGGAATCTATATCTTAACAAGTCTGTGTTAAAATATAAGTGGCAGCTGGGCGCGGTGGCTCACACCTGTAATCCCAGCACTTTGGGAGGTCAAGGCGGGCAGATCACGAGGTTAGGAGATCGAGACCATCCTGGCTAACACGGTGAAACCCCATCTCTACTAAAAATACAAAAAAATTAGCCAGACATGGTGGCAGCCTCCTGTAGTCCCAGCTACTCGGGAGGCTGAGGCAGGAGAAGGGCATGAACCTGGCAGGCGGAGCTTGCAGTGAGCCAAGATGGCGTCACTGCACTCCAGCCTGAGGGACAGAGCAAGACTCTGTCTCAAAAAAAAAAGAAAAAAAAGTGGCACAGATCAATTATAAATCACTGCTTCAAGGCCAGTGCTCTCACTTTGTACATTAATAATCTCAGGCCCAAATAAGATAAGTGATATGTCAACGTATGTTCACTTTGGTCTTTACATGGCAGCTATAGTATACGGAATATTATAAGCTCAGATCGTCATAGCTACATAACTCCTTTAGTTGGAAGATCACGCGTAAATGCCCATCAAGAGCTAGCAGTTCTGCATTTGACTCTTGAAGACCGTGGCATGGCAGACAACACTTCTTGAGCTGTAACAGGTGGACATTAAATCCATGACAGGAGGTAGAGACGGCCAGATTACTTGAGCCCAAGAGTTTGAGACCAGCCTAGGCAACATGGTGAGACCTCATCTCTACTGAAAAAGGAGGATAATCCAACTCTCTTCTACTTCACATTAATATCCTTTTAATGAGCATGGTCAGATACTTTGGAAAGTTGTGGAGATAACTTCAGAAACTAAATCTGAATAAAAACCTATGTGTAAACGATCATATAGATGGCTGTTAGCAAAGTGGTACTTTTGTAAACTTTACAGTTGACATACTATAGTATATACTACATATATACTTATATACTACATATAATACATAGAATTATACATAATATACTATAGTATGTCAACTATAGTATAGTATATTTGACACGTTTAAAATGTACAGTTTCATAGGTTTTAAGATACATATATACACAGGAAGCCATCATCACAATCAAGATAGTGAACATAACCTAAATCTCCAGAAGTCCCTCATGTTCCTTTGTGATCTTGTCTCCTGCCCCTTCATACCGTCCATCCCCAGGGAACCATTGCATTCTGTCATGAGAGATTAGTTTTGCACTTTCTAAAATTTTGCATAAGTGGAATCATACAGTAGGGACCCTTCAGGAGTGGAGGAGGGCTGGCTTATTTCAGTCAGCATAATTGAGATTCATCCATAAAGTAGCAAGTATCAATACTTTTTATTATATATTGATTGTGGTTATCCCACAGTTTATCCATTCACTTATTGATGGACATTTGAATTCCAGTTTTTAGAAATTACAAAGCTGCTAAGAACATTTTAGTACAACTCTTGGTATGGATAGATGCTTTCTTCTTGAGTAAATACCTCGGAGTGGAATGGCTGAATTGTAATGGATATGTGTGTTTATCTTTCGAAGGAAACAACAGTTCCAGGCCAGGTGCGATGGCTCATGCCTGTCATCTCAACACTTTGGGAGGCTGAGGTGGTTGGACCACCTGAGGTCAGGAGTTCAAGACCAGCCTGGCCAACATGGCAAAACTCTGTCTCTACTAAAAAATACAGGCCGGGTACTGTGGCTCATGCCTGTAATGCCAGCACTTTGGGAGGCTGGGGCAGGCAAATCATGAGGTCAAAAGATTGAGACCATCCTGGCCAACATGGTGAAACCTCGTCTCTACTAAAAATACAAAAATTAGCCAGGCATGGTAGTGTGCGCCTGTAGTCCCAGCCACTCGGGAGGCTGAGGCAGAAGAATCACTTGAACCCGGGAGGTGGAGGTTGCTGTGAGCCGAGATCGCACCACTGCAGTTCAGCCTGGCAACAGAGTGAGACTCTGTCTCAAAAACAAACAAACAAACAAACAAAAAAAAACAAAAAGTATTTTTACGTGTGGTGGCATGTGCCTATAATCCCAGCTACTTGGGAGGCTGAGGCACAAGAATTGCTTGAACCTAGGAGGCGGAGGTTGCAGTGAGCCAAGATCATGCCACTGCACCCCGTCCTGGGTGACAGCAAGACTCCATCTCAAAAAAAAAAAAAAAAAAAGAAAAGAAAAAAATAGCAGTTTTCTAAAGTGTTTTTACCTTTTTATGTTTGCACTCATACTGCAGCAGATGAGATTTTCAGTTCCTCCAAATCCTTGCTAACCCTACGAACAGTCTTGATAATTTTGTCGTTCTGATATTTGTGCAGTGGGTGCACATTGTGATTAAGGACTAATGATGTTGAGCATCTTTTCATGTGTTTATTTGCAAACTGTCCAGTCTTTGCTTTGGCTTTGTATTCACTTAATAGTGTCTTTTGAAGAGCAAAAGTTATTAATTTTGAAGCCCAGTGTGTCAGTTTGTTCTTTAATGGATCATGCTTTTGGGGTTGAATCTCAAAAATCTTTGCCTAACTAAAGGTCATAGATAATTTCTGTATGTTCTCTTATAGAAATCTTACAGTTTTAGGCTTAATATTTAGGTTTTTGCTTCATTTTGAGTTAATTTTTATATGATGTGAGGTGTAAATCAGAGTCCTTTATTTTTATATGGAGATATCTAACTTCTAGCACCATTTGTTGAACAATTATCCTTTCTCTATTGAATTATTTTTTCAGTTTTGTTGAAAATCAGTTGTCTGTTGTATTCTGTTTATTTGTCTTTCATGATGCCTATACTATACTCTGTTGATTCTGTAGCTTTATAATTAGTATTGAAGTTAGATAGTGTTAATCCTCCAACTTTTTTTTTTCAAAGTTGTTTTGGTTATTTTAGGTCCTTTGCATTTCTTTTTCTTTTTTTGAAAGAGGATCTTCTGGCCAGTCATGGTAGCTCACGCCTGTAATCCCAACACTTTGGGAGGCCGAACTGGGCAGATCACTTGAGGTCAGGAGTTCGAGACCAGCCTGGCCAAAATGGCAAAACCCCATCTCTGTAACTAAAAATACAAAAATTAGCCAGGCATGATACTGTGTGCCTGTAATCCCAGCTCCTTGGGAGGCTGAGGCACAAGAATCACTTGAACCCAGGAGGCGGAAGTTGCAGTGAGCCGAGATCACACCACTGCACTCCAGCCGGGGTGACGGAGTGAGACTGTCTTAGATAGATAGATAGATAGATAGATAGATAGATAGATAGATAGATAGATAGATAGATAGACAGACAAGATAGATAGACTCTGTCTCAGAAGGAAGGGAGGGAGGGAAAGGAGAGAAAGAAAAGAAAAGAGAGAAGAGAAAGAAAAGAAAAGAAGAAAAGAAACAGGGTCTCCCTCTATTGCCCAGGCTGGAGTACATTGGCATGATCATGGCTTACTGCAGCCTTGACCTGGGCTTACTTGATTCTCTTACCTCAGACTCTTGTGTAGGTCAAACTATAGGCATTCACCATCACATCTAAGTTTTTTTTAGGTATTTATTCACTCTGTGGTCCAGGCTGGTCCCAAACTCCTGGGTTCAAGAGATCTACTTGCCTTGGCCTTCCAAAGTGTTGACATTACAGTCATGAGCCACTGCACCCAGATGCATTTCTGTATAGATTTTAAGTGTAGTCCGTTTCTTCCAGAAAGTGTGGTGGGGGGTGAATTGGGATTGTGTTCAATCTGTATATCCATTGAGAATTGACATATTAAAAATATTTAGTATTCCAGATCGTGAACACGGTATATCTGTCTATTTAGGTCTTCTTTTATTTCTGTCAACAATATAACTTTAGTTTATAAATCTTCTGTCAAATTTATCCCTGAGTGTTTTATATTTTTTGATGCTATTGTGAAATGATACCAGTTTAAAATTACAGTTTCCAGTATTACTGGTATATATTGATCTTGATTCCTATAACTTTGCTGAAATCACTTACTAGTTCTAGAATTTTTTTTCTTTTTTGGTAGATTCTTTTGGATTTTTAAGTTGTGGAACTTATCACCTGGGAATAAAAAAGGCAGTTTTACTTCTTTCCAATGCAGATGACTTTTTTGTTTTTTTTTTCTTGCCATATTGGATGGAAGGGAACCTTAAGTATAGGGCGAGAGTGAACATCCTTGTCTTGTTCCTGTTTTTGAGGGAAAGTATACAGTCTTTCATTATTATGTAAATATTAGCTGTAGGTTTTTTGTAGATACCCTTTATTGGTTTGAGGAAATTTTCTTTGGTTTGCTGTTTTTACCAGGAGTAGATGTTGGATTTTGTCAAATGCTTTTTGTGGGTCTGATCGAGATAATCACACAATTTTAATATAGTGAATTACATGACTTGAATTTTCAAATATTAAAGTGGTCTTGTATTTCTGGGTTAAATCACATTTTGGTCATGCAATATTATTTTTTTAACCCTTTTTGCATTTAGAAAAAAAGCTGCAGCTTGCTGCCAGTTCTCATGTAATTTCACATAAACACACTCTTTGAGGCTGAAGCAAATCTGATTTTCAGTGTGAAAATAAAATATAAAAACTGTTCTTGGAGTTATTTCTAAACAGAACTAACATCAGAATCATCTGACTCATCAGAATCATCTGTTTTGGAAAATTCAGATTCATCAAATTAGTCTTCGGCCAACTGAGAACAATGTTAACATCACCTTTAGGAATGTTATGCAGGTGAGTTTATAATTGCAAATTTAATTTTTTAAATAGACATAGCTAATCAGGCTATCAGTTTCTTCAGAAAGCTTCACTGGTTCATGTGTTTGGAGGACTTAAGAAAAATCTCATCTAAGTTGCTGATTTTATTGGCACAAAGCTGTTTATAATATTCCCTCAGTTATGTGTAGAATCTCGGCTGGGTGGGGTGGCTCACGCCTGTAATCCCAGCACTTTGGGAGGCTGAGGTGGGCGGATCACGAGGTCAGGAGTTCGAGACCAGCCTGGCCAGCATGGTGAAACCCCGTCTCTACTAAAAATACAAAAAATTAGCCAGGCAGGGTGGTGCACACCTGTAGTCCCAGGTACTCGGGAGGCTGAGGCAGGAGAATTGCTTGAACCTGGCAGGCAGAGGTTTGCAGTGAGCCGAGATCGCGCCACTGCACTCCAGCCTGGGTGACAGAGCAAGACTCCATCTCAAAAACTAATAATAATATGTGTAGAATCTCTAGTGATACCACTTTTCTCATTTTTTTTCCTGGTATGTCTGTCTTGAGATTAGTAAATTTTAATGACTTTCTCAAGGAACCAACTTTTGGTTTCACTGATTTTTCTCTATTTTTTTTTAACTTTTTAAACTTTTTTTATTTTTAACTTTTTAAAAATTACATTCTTTTTAATGTTTACAGTGGATTTTATTTGCTCTTATTTTTCTGTTTTCTTAAGGTGGAAGCTCAGGTTGTTGATTTGAGATCATTCTTTTAGTGCTATCAATTTCCCACTAAGTACTTCTTTAGGGCATCCCACAAATTTTGCTATGTTGTGTCTTTATTTTCTCTTTGTTCAAAATACGTTCTGATTTCCTTTGTGATTTCTCCTTTGACCCAGGGGTTATTTAGAAGTGTGTTATTTAATTTCTGTACGTAATTTGGGATTGTCCAGAGATCTTTCTGTGGTTAATTTCTAATTTAATGTATTGTGTTCAAATAAAATACTTTGTAAAACTTCAATCCTTTTAAGTTTGTTGAAATGTATTTTATAGCCCAGAATATGGCTCTCTTGATAAATATCCTGCGTAAGAATGCCATTTAAAGGTCAGATTTTGGAAAATTTCAAAAAATTTCTTTCAGTTTTTTGGCCCTCTTTGGAGATTGGAATTATATGTGTACTAGGCTGCTTGAAGTTGTCTCACATATCAGTGATGCTTTTTATGGGTTATTTTTTACTTTTTTCTCTCTGTTTTATTATAGATAGTTCCTTGTTTTGTCTTCAAGGTCATTTTTTTCTTCTGCAGTGTCTATTCTGTCCAATGTGTTTTTAATACCAGATATTGTAGCTTTCCTTTTTTTTTTTTTCTTTTTTCCTTTTAGAGATGGGATCTTGCTTTGTTTCCAGGCTGGTCTTGAACTCCTGGCCTCAGCTTCCATATGTGCTGGGATTATAGGCATGAGCCACCATGCCTGGCCAAATATTGTAACTTTCATCTCTAAAGTTTTATTTTGGTCTTTCTAATATCTTCCATGTCTGTACTATTTGAATGTAAGGAATATAGTTGTAACAATGGTTTTAATGTTCTTGTCCCCTAATTTTAACATCTTTTTCAAGTCTGGGTTAGTATTAATTGATTTTTCTCCTTACAATGAGTCATACTTTCCTGCTTTTTTGCATGCCTTGGAATCTTTGATTAGAAGCCAGACATTAATTTTAACTTGTTTTATGCTGGTTATTTTTATATTCCTACTAATATTCTTGACCTTTGTTCTAGGATAAAATTAAATTACCAAGAAATGGCTTAATCCTTTTGGGCCTTGCGTTTAAGATTTGCTAGGTGGAAACAAGAATGTTTGGGGCTAACTAATCCTACTACACAACCCTTCTTACTGCTCTATGCAACATCATGTAAATTGATGAGATTTTGCAGTCTCACTGGTGGAAATAGACACTATTCCCATCCCTGTGTGAATGCCTGGTACTATTCTCTGTAATCCTTTTGGGTGATTCTTTCCCCAGCCTCACATGTTTTCTTTACACATTTTGAACACTTTGCCGAATATTCAGAAATATTCTCCTTTGGAGATCTGTGGGAGTATTTCTCTGTGTAGCATTCTCTCCTTTATTACTAGATCTTTCAAATTTATTTGTCTTTAGTCTTCCTGGGTTCTCATCCCTTTCTGCTAAACTCCAGGAGTTTGTCAAGAGTCTACCTGGGTTCTTGCTGTCTGTTCTGGGGCCTGGAAAATCTGAAGGCAATAAACTTTGGGCAGTGCTAGAATTCACCTAGATGTCTTTCATGGATTATTGTCCTGTTTCTTAATGTCTCGTGTTTTAAACGCTTTTTCATGTGTTTTGTCTATTTTTTGTTTATTTTTTGATGGTTTCAGGTGGGACGGGAAATCTGATCCCTGTTAATTTATCTGAGTTGGAAGTGGAAGTCTGCTACTCACTCTTGATTTCTGTGTAATAATTTGAGGTTTGACTTAATGCTTTAGAGCACATTAGACTGTTTCACCTATCCCTCTAAAGGTTTATGTATTTATATGTCAAAAAGGTTATAAAAACAAAACAAAAAAAGCATAGTTTTAAAACTGCTTATTGGGAAGATAAGAATTCACTTTACATTTACGATCTCATATTTTGGCATATTCGGTATTTCCTCCATAACGCCTACTAAAATTAAATTATGTAAACAAAGTACCCAGGCCAGGCGTGCTGGCTCATGCCTGTAATCCCAGTGCTTTTGAGAGCCGAGGCAGGAGGATTGCTTGAGCCCAGGAGTTCAAGACTAGCCCTAGCAACATAACAAGACCCCATCTCTACAAAAACAAAGTACCCAGTACATATTTGAGGAGTAGAAAATTAGCATCTACTGAGGTTTATCAAATACCCAGCCTTGGGCCAGATGCTGGAGGGACACAGCCAAATCTGACAGGGACCCGCCCTCAGGAGCCCACATTCTAGTAGGGGAGACAGAGTCACAGCCGTAATGACAGAAACCAGTGCATTAGATAAGCAATACTTTATCTTAAGTCTAATTAATAATTTAATTTTAAAAGTTCCAGGACCCTTCCTACATCCCGAGACATTCTAATTCTCTGCCGTTTGTGTAGCAATTCTTTGAACTGTTGAAAGATCTCCTGACAAATTGTTACTGATATTGTGTTAAGCAATAATCTTAACCTTCCCAGTAAATGAACTGGAATGCCCAATTTTAAGTTTCTCTATTTATGAAGAAACAAAATACAGGGGTCATAGTCAGGATACTGCCTATGGTACATTTTAAAATTTCTGGGTCTACTAGGATATAATCTTTCTTAACCTCTTTTGAGATTTGATGTCAGTTCAAGGGAAGCATTCCATTGATGTCAGGAAGGCAGCTATTTGTTGACTGAAATTCTGGTACTCTGGCATAAGCTCGTTCTAAAAATCCACAAATATGTTGTTAATAGAATGGGACCATACTTTTCACTTGGGGGCCTACCCGCTAGAGGTGAGATGTCATCCTTGAGATGTTTGGAAGACTTTGTGAGATTTTTTTTTCTTTTGCAAACTAGACGTGCGCCAGCTTCTCTGACCTAAATGTAGCTCCAGTGGGAATTTCACTATGGATACTTTATCTTAAGTCTAATTCCCCTGGTAACCCAACATTGCTGGTTTTAGAATTTAATAGTCTTCAGAAATTTTTTAAGATAAATTTGCTATTTTCTTTATTATCTTTTAATTACTTTTATAACATGGGGTTTTTGTTGTGTGTATATACTAGCATTCCTTTGGACACAAAGTAGACTATAAAGAAAATTTCTAAATTCTGAATGCAGTTTCTCATTGATTTTAATTATTGCTATGTTCCTTTTGAAAATTTTTTGGCTGGCTCTGGCAACTTATGCCTGCAGTCCCACCCAGCACATTTTGAGGCCAAGGCAAGTGGTTTGCTTGAGCCCAGCAGTTCAAGACCAGCCTGGGTAACATGGCGAAACCATGTCTCTACAAAAAATACAAAAGATAGGGCTTGGTGGCATGCATTTGTAGTCCCAGCTACTCAAGAGGCTGAGGCTGGAGGGATCGCTTGAGCCCAGGAAGTTGAGACTGTAATGAGCTATGATTGTGCCACTGCAATCCTTGGCTGCAAAGTGAGATCCTATCTCTTAAAAAAAAAAAAAATTAGAAAAAGAATAAAAAAGTCTACCCTAACCATTTTATATTTAAAACAAGTTTGTTCTTTTCAGTGTCCTTACTTTTAAAATAGTTGAACTGATTTTTCTGGGAATCTTTCTCAAATACAACCTTAAACAGAATATATGGATGTGTTTCTGATGTCTTAGAATTATTCTAATATTAATTATTTGGTGCCATAGACATATTGTAGTTCTCAGAGGCTATTCATATGTATGAGAAATTTTTCTTAATTGAAATTTTCCAAAGATTGCTACACTCAAGAGTTTTTTGAATTCTGTTTGTAAGCTACCTAAGAGTAGCAAATAGGTTTCATTCTCACATACCAATTCCAATCTTTTGAAACAGAGTGTTGAGGAGAGTTCTGAGAGCTTTTGGACTTAGGAAGGATAACTAAGACAGGATCAGCCAAAATTGTCTGTTTGTTTGGGAAAAGGGGATAGAGTGATGGGACTGGTACGCATTTTTGTTCTCTAGGGTTGGTAAGAGGAATTTGGGTGTAATTTGTGTACATCATGAAAACATGCCAATGAAACCAAATGGTCTGAGTTCAGATGCATTTAATCCCTATATTGTCTTTTTCTTGGATCTCATTGACACATATTTCTATTCTACTCATCGACACGTTTCTTCTCTAAGTCTACTCTAATGACACAATTTCTGCTCTAATCCACAAATACTTGGACATTCTAGCTCTTCTCATTGTCCCAACCTTTTAAAACAACTTCAGTAATAGCACCTTTCTTAACCTCTGGGGTGATAAAATGGTGCTACTTCCAATGACTGTTTGAGGCCTTATCTATAGGGTAACACACAGCCATCAAAGTATAGATCAAAAGCTCAAAAGGTTTAAGTTCATCAGTAGAAAAACCAGGGAGTTTTTTTCTCCTGTTCTAGAGAAAAAAGCTCACAGATTGCAGGACTGTAGTTAACTAGTATTTATACTTGTCCTGGGTTGAAGCAATTGTAATAGTATGGTTGACAGTAGGTTTATAAAATACACTTTTGTAGTTTTGTATGATTTTTAGATTTTACTTGGGGTAAAATTGGAAGCGACACCTTAAAAAGAACTTTGTGGGAAGAAATGTGTACAATTGAGTTTCCCTGTTAAGTTCTTTTACTTATTTGCTCTTTCATTGGCCCTTGTATGTGTAGTTGTTAGAAGTGGGGTGAAGGTAAATTGTGTAGTGGAGAGAACCAAGGTGGCAGAATTCCAGCTATAGCATTGTTTCTTGCTGGTGAGTTGTTAGCTTGTTTGTGAGTGCTGTTTTCATGTTCTGTCAGTTTCATTAATAGACAAAACAGTGAAATTAATGAAAGTCTACTGGCATCTTCTTTTTTATTTTTTATTTTTATTTTTTGGTTAAGATACAGGCGGAAGTGCAGTGGTGCGATCATAAGCTCACTGCAGCCTCGAATTCCTGGGCTTGAGGAATCCTCCTCCCTCAGCCTCCTGAGTAGCTGGGACTACAGGTGCATGCCACCATGCCCAGCTAATTTTAAAAAGTTTTTTTTAGAGATGGTGTCTTGTCATCTTGCTCAGGCTGGTCTCTAACTCCTAGGCTCAGGCAATCCTCCCTCAGCCTCCCATATTTGACATCTTCTTGAACCTCTGTTTAGGGACTCTTCTTCCCTGCAGATACCATTCAGTGCCTCAACCATAGTTTTTAGAGGACCTTGAGTTCTACAAACTAGTTACTAATAAAATTCCAAGACCTTAGCTTATAATGACTTAACATGGTTACCTTTTCTAATATTGCTTATATTTGAGTAAGAGGAATGGATGTTTTTCAGATGGAAAAAATTATTTTGGTAGATGTATTCTTCTGTTATTTCTTAAATCTTACCAATAAGTAGCAGTTTACTCTATTCATGGGTGATCTTGACCTGGTTGATTTTTTTCTATCAAATTCATTAAATAAGAGAATTTTTGTACACTTGGTTTAATAAATGAGGCGAGTTTTTATGGGACCTGTGTCTCTTAAAGTTCTAATGTACTTTCTTCAGCTACCAAATTGTCATTTTAAAAACAAAGTGAAGATCAGAGGCAAAATTCATAAGGGATTATTTGCAAATTACATGTTATTTCGTTTAGATTCTTTATGCACACCTTGACTAAGTTTTAAAATTTGCTGGGCAGGTTCAACAGCTAGGAAAATCTGTTAAAATTGTAAATTTGTTGCTTTTGTTACTCTAAAATTATCATTTGTACTGTTTTCTTAAAATGGTCTTTAGCATCTTTTATACCTTCACTTTTGATAATTTTCTGAACTTTGCCGGATATTTTGACATTACAGACTGACTTTTAAACATTCACTTTCCCCCCATTGTCTTACGCATTAATAGAAGGGAATGTCATCTGGTGTTTTGAGTGTGCAAAATAATATTTATGGACCATTCATAGATAAGTTATTTTTAAAGGCATTTCTTCTTAAAAATTTGAATATACACGGTGTCTTGCAGTGGTTCATAAAGTACTTCCAGCATTGGTATTTTAATTTGAGCAACAGTTTTTGTGTGAGCAACGACATGAGTGAGCAATATGGGCATTGCATTATGGACTTGATTGAGCAATGTGGGCATTCCAATAGGGACTTGAGTGAACAATGTGGGCATTCCAATAGAGAGACTTCAGTGAGCATCGTGGGCATTCCAGTTGTTACTTGAGTGAGCAATGTGGGCATTGCAATAGGGACTTGAGTGAGCAGTGTGGGCATTCCAGTTGTGACTTGAGTGAGCAATGTGGGCATTGCAGTAGGGACTTGAGCGAGCAACATGGGCATTGCAATAGGGACTTGAGTGAGCCATGTGGGCATTCCAATAGGGACTTGAGTGAGCAACGTGGGCATTCCAATAGGGACTTTAGTGAGCAACGTGGGCATTCCAATTGTGACTTGAGTGAGCAACGTGGGCATTCCAGTAGGGACTTGAGTGAGCAACGTGGCCATTCCAATAGGGACTCGAGTGAGCAACGTGGGCATTCCAATAGGGACTTGAGTGAGCAACGTGGCCATTCCAATAGGGACTCGAGTGAACAACGTGGGCATTCCAGTTGTGACTTGAGTGAGCAACGTGGGCATGCACTAGGGACTTGAGTTAGCAATGTCGGCATTCCAGTAGTGTGACAGATATTCTTTTGGTTGGTGTCTCATTGTTCATTTTGAAGATTTAACATGTTTTTTCTGAGTTCCTTCTCTTTCAACCTCTTATGACCCTGCAGACTGATTATGAAGTTTCCATTAACCAGAATAAGAAAATGTACTTGCAGACTACTGTAGTTAACTGTTCATATAGCATTTTATCTTATGCATACTATAAAACTGTTATATGGGTATGTAATACAGAACAGACAAAATAAGGAAAACATTCTTTTCCAAAGGACTCACCGTAGAATTCCTTTAACAGAGATCTCTGATGGTATGTTTTGAAATTTAATACCTATAAAACTTCAGTTAGATTCTGCATTTCAGAAGCAAATCTATTGTATAGAGCCAAATACAACTATATATTTTTACAGCACGTTTGTTTTTTTGGGGGAGATCATTAAAGAATATTTACCTTCTAATCAGATTAAAAACTTTTCTTTGATCTTTTATGTGTTCGATTTGTTAATGGTACAGTTGGTATCAGATTCTTCTGATTAACAGCAACTGGCCTGAATCTACTATAAACTTGTGAGAGAAACTTAAAATTGGCCCTTGTTATTACTTAATAAACCTATTATTTTTCTTATTAATTTTTTTAATGACCATCATGTTTACTCTTCTAGGCAGAAATTATGGTTTATTGTGTAATGGGAATAAACATGATTTGTGGAATTATACCTCGTTCATATACTCACTGTATTTCTTGTGAAAGCCGTAACATCTCTAAGCATAGTTTCTTCAATTGTACAATGTAGAAAATTACTTTGTAGAATTATTACAAAAATTCGATGAGTTAGGCTGGGTGTGGTGGCTCACATCTGTAATTCCAGCACTTTGGGAGGCTGAGGCGGGCAGATCAGTTTAGGTCAGGAGTTCGAGACCAGCCTGGCCGATATGGTGAAACCCCATCTCTACGAAAAATACAAAAAATTAGCCAGGCATGGTGGCACCTGTAATCTCAGCTCCTTGGGAGGCTGAGGCACGAGAATCGCTTGAACCTGGGAGGCGGAGGTTGCGGTGAGCTGAGATCACACCACTGCACTCCAGCCTCTAGTCTGGGTGACAGAGCAAGGCCCTGTCTCAAAAAAGAAAAAAAGGAAACTGCTAAAGTTCCAGAGTAGCTGTATTTTACATTCCTATCAATACCGTGTGAGTGCAAAGTATGTTTTTTAAAAAAGGAAATAACATGAATGTCCAGGAAAAATGGAGTAATTGTTGATTGTACAGCTGTATCTTGGAAGACTGTGTGAGTCATCAGAAATGTTATGTAGTGTTTTCATTAAGTAGAAAAGCAGAATCTAAAACACTATTATCTCAATAAAGGCATAGAAAATAGAAGTTGTTCATAATGGATAATTTGAATAAGAATGTTATAATATAACAAGTTTATGTTGAAGGATATTTATATCTAACTTCTTATGTCATTCCTAGTAGCTGATGGTACCCTTCAGTAGAAAAGGAGGGAGAGGGAATATTCTTCCCTAATTCTTGTTTGTGTCACTATTTAAGGGTTTGGAGTATTCACTGTCTAGGAAAATAAATTACTTTTACTAAGTGTCTTGCTATGTGCTAGGTGCTTTATGGGAAAGTTACCCTAACAGCCTTAAGAATATTCGATCCTGGCCGGGCATGGTGGCACACGTCTGTAATCCCAGCACTTTGGGAGGCCGAGGCAGGCAGATCACTTAAGGTCAGGAGTTCAAGACCAGCCTGGCCAATATGGTGAAACCCTGTCTCTACTAAAAATACAAAAATTAGCCGGGCATGGTGGTACATGCCCGTGATTCCAGCTACCAGAAGGCTGAGGCACGAGAATTGCGTGAACCCGGGAGGTGGATCGTGCCACTGCACTCCAACCTGGATGACAGTGAGACTGTCTCAAAGAAAAAAAAAAAAGGAATATTTGATCCTGTGGTTTATTGGGTATAGTCAAGGTACCTGATACAGCCTGTTTTTCTTACCATCCTACTATGAGAATATATAAATACCTTAATTATTTAAAGTTCTTATCTTCATTCCTTTTAAGCATGCAAAACTATATGTATAAACCGTATCGCAGAATAGCACCTCCAAACTGAGGACTGATGTTCATTGTTTTTGTTCTGGCAGCTCTAGCTTCGATTTTCTGTGATTCCTAATATTTCTTCCTCTGCTAGCTCATCTCTAATAGAAGTTCTCTCCCATTTTAGGCCAGGCGTGGTGGCTCATGCCTGTAATCCCAGCACTTTGGGAGGCCGAGATAGGCGGGTCACTTGAGTCCAGGAGTTTGAGGCCAGTCTGACCAACATGGTGATACCCTTCCTCCAAACCCCTCCCCGCACACCGCAGCCCATCTCTACTAAAAATACAAAATATTAGCTGGGTGTGGTGGTGCTCGCCTGTAATCCCATCTACTCAAGGAGGCTGAGGCACGAGAATCGATTAAACCCCCGAGGAGGCTGACGCTGCAGTGAGCCAAAATCATGCTACTGTACTCCAGCCTGGACAACAGAGTGAGACTCTGTTTCAGTAAAATTTTTTCTCCCATTTTATAGTCCATTGCCTCATTCCCCACAAAATGATTTTGTCTCTTTTATTATGGTAGAATTGTCTGTCTTGCAGACCATATGATCTGACCAGCCTTTCTCTCACATACTAGTATTTAAGATTAAATAAATTAAAATAATTTCTTAGTTTTGTTTTGTTTAAATACTGTTGTGGTAAAGGCTGTTTTTTGTCTTTTATCAAAAATGTAAGAGGTTGAACAACAAGAAATTAGTGTAATGGTTGAATATGGCAATTTCATATGCTTCTGACAAATATTTCTTAAGCCTCATTTGTTTTTGTTTGTTTGTTTGTTTGTTTGTTTTGTTTTGTTTTTGAGATGGAGTCTTGCTGTCACCCAGGCTGGAGTCCAGTGGCTCGATCTTGGCTCACTGCAAGTGCCGCCTCCTGGGTTCATGCCATTCTCCTGCCTCAGCCTCAAGGAGTAGCTGGGACTACAGGCGCCTGCCACCATGCCTGGCTAATTTTTGTATTTTTAGTAGAGACGGGGTTTCACCGTGTTAGCCAGGATGGTCTCGATCTCCTGACCTCGTGATCCGCCTGCCTCGGCCTCCCAAAGTGCTGGGATTACAGGCGTGAGCCACCGCGCCCAGTCTAGCCTCATTTGTTAAATACGCTTTCATTAAGGTAGCCTAGGAACTCAGCCACCCTATAGATTGTTGCTTCAGTACAGAAATGAGTCCCACATTTAAAAGAACATTTTATCACTGTTTGTGGTGTTTTAATATCCAGACTTTTGTGGTCTTCATGTTGGAATCAATAATATATGTCAATATATTTTGGTATATATTAATATGTAATTATATTTTAATATATGGAAGCATACATCATATATTAAAATATATGCATAACTGAATTAAATATATACATTTAATGTATATATTTTAAAAATTAGTAATGCTTCTAAATGTCAGTGAGTGCCCTCAGCTTCTGACAATGCTTAATCTACCGGTGTCTAAACAGCATTGCAGTGTTCCTGCTGCTTAAATCATATAGGATTCATTTTAGCTAAGGCTAAATTAGGGGAATAACTGAAGATATATCGGAAATGGAAACCCCAAAGAGTAATAGCTATGAATTCTGTAAATGGGAAGACAGACCAGCCTTTACTGTAGCAGTCAATATATAGAGATAAGGTCTTACACTGGTGTTTTTGTTTGTTTGTTTGTTTTTTTAAACTACTGATGCCTCAGTCCTACCCCTGGAAATATGAGTAAAATGGGGCCAGGACAACAGAAAGTTGAGAGCTTCTTTTTGTACTGGCTTTAAAAGCAAGGATCTAGGCCGGGTGTGGTGGCTTACGCCTGTAATCCCAGCACTTTGGGAGGCCAGGGTGGGCAGATCACGAGGTCAGGAGTTTGAGACGAGCCTGGCCAACGCAGTGAAACCCCGTCTCTACTGAAAATACTTAGCTGGGTGTGGTGGCACACACCTGTAGTCCCAGCTACTTGAGAGGCTGAGACAGGAGAATTGCTTGAACCTGGGAGGTGGAGTTTGCAGTGAGCTGAGACCACGCCAGTGCATTCCAGCCTGGGTGACAGAGTGAGACTCAGTCTCAATAAATAAATAAATAAATAAAATTAAAAAATAAAAGCATGGAGCTAGGTCAGAAATAGCTACAGACTGAGAGTAATCACTGTAAGTAGTGACACAAAGACTAATCTTTGTGCAGTGTGGAAAGTACAGCTGGGTTGTTTCTTTGATTCCTCCTGCCCCATTGAGCCATACCTACAGAGAGCAGCTGTGAAAAACTATCACTTTCAACAATGAAGAATAGTAATATGTCATAATGGAGATTATGAAGTTCAGAAAGGGGTAAATGCAGTTTTGGGGAGGGCTGAGACTAAGAGAGAACACAATAAGACAGGCAATTAAGACTGACATGAAAGATCAGTCACATTGATAGGATATACTCTTGATATGATATAATGAGAATGGCAGTTTACCGCTGTGGTTTTCTTTTCCCAAAACCCATAACCACAGCCTAACCATGAGAAAGACATCAAACAAATCCCAATTTGGGACATTCTGTAGAATACCTAACCCAGTATTCCTTAAAAACAATGAAAGTCAGAGATACTGTCACAGCCAAGAGGAGCCTAGGGAGACATGACAACTAAGTGTAATGTGGTATCCTGGATAGAATTCTAGAACAGAAAAAAATTAAAAACTAAAGAAATCATGTATGAGCTTCAGTTAATAAGGTATCAATATTGTTTCATTAATTTTGTCAAATTTACCATACTAATGTAAGATGTCACTATTATAGGGGAAACTGGCTGTGGTGCACATGAGAACTCGTTGTACTATCTTCACAATTTTTCTGTAAACCTAAAACTGTTCTAACCCTAAACCTAGCCAGTAATGGTGCCTTGGTAATTAAAACACCATGCTGATGAGTATATGATTTCTAGCTAGCTTTATGAACCCCATGATAGAATTTGGATATGTCAGTCCAAATTTATCACTCTTAGTGGAAAATCAGGGTAGGTTCACTTCATTGTTAAGAATACAACAGTAACATTATTCGCCTTTGTAACTTAAAACACATCCCAGCGTCACATACCATTTGTACCCCCACCTCCCCTCTCAAACCCATTGCTTCCCCACTGGCCGCCCCCTACCCCCCACCAAAAAAAAAAAAAAAGGAAAAGGAAAGAAAAAAGGAGAAGGTAAAAAGGAAGGAAAGAAGGTAAAAGAGAAAGTAGAAAGAGAGGAAAGGAAGGAAGAATGGAAAGAAGAAAACTCACAATGGTTGGCAAATAAACCTCTATATTTCAAAGGTTATTGTGAGGATAAAACTCTTATAGTTATGATATAAAAGATTTAACGCGGTGTTGGTACATGTTGTTGGAATAATTCACAGTCAACATAATGAGCAGTGATACAAAGTTCAGGTGTTGTAGCAGACGTATTTTGAGTTTACAGATATTAAACAGTGAAAGTAAATTTTGGGTTTCTGTTAAGAAACACGTAAAATAGCCATTAGAGTTTTGTGGATATGTCAGGTAAATTTTGAAGGCATTTTAGAAATGTCAACTTGCTAACTCTAGGTGACTAAAATAGGTAAGCTTTTTATAAATAAGGTAGATTGAGAAATTTTTGGATATGAAATTAATGATCTGTATGATGACTGATATTTTATTTTGCAAATCAGCATAATGTTTACTGTGTCTCTTCTTGTTAAAGTGTTTTATTTACCTTTCCTGTGTTTGACTGTCTATTCTTGATATTATGTGGTCATTATTTCTTTGCCTCTGTCATTATGTACTGTTTGCATCTTTTCCGTAGTATCTTGATCTTCAAAATAACCAGGCATGCTATTTACATGAAGCAGATAAGCATAACCCATGTAAATTTTCATTGAGTCACTGAGAGGTGGTGTGTGTTTTTTCCCTTTTACTTTAAAATGATTTATTTATTTATTTATTTTTGCTGGCAGCCTTAATAATGTTTTCATAAAATATGATCGATTTATAAGTCTGTTTTACATGCCTTTCCCTTTTTGTCTTAGTGCTTTGCTTCTAAGTTGCAGATGCAGTGGGTGAACAATACCCTGTGTGGTGTGACAGGTAAATTTCCCAATTTACCTGCCGTAATAGTGCGCTGTGTAATGCCATTCAATCATCTCTGAATTTTACTTGCCTGATTAGTTAAGTGAAGCAGATTTTCAATTTAAATGTAACTTCATCTGCTTGATTAAAAATGTAACAGAACATTATCTGCTGCAAATAAATTTCAGTGGAAGAGATGATTTTTGCCTGTTTAAAAATAACATCTGTTTATGTTGGCTGGAAGCAGACGATTAATACCTCTCTAATTTCGAGGTTTACCAGTCCAGCTCACCTGTCTCTTTGCATGGATAGTTGAAATTGATGGCTGTCGAGTATAAACATTTACCTGTTGATGTTGAGTTGATGGATTTCTTTTTTAAGGATAATACAGAATCCCATCATTGGGCATTCATTTATTTGCTGCTCATCAAGATGATTGACAGTTTTGCCAACAACATGGAAAAAGGATCTTCCTTCATGATGCATATGAGAAAAATTTTACCCCTCAATGATGAGTGCCCTACAGAAAAACATATTCTTGTAGATTCTTTTTCATAGTTGGTATTTATTTGAATTTTGAGTTTAGAGTCCATAAGTATAAATTTAAGTCAAGTGCATAGTAAATTAGGGTAGTACACCCCTGCTGGCATTTTTCATCAAGTGATTGTATGTATAGGCCATAAGGACAAGGAGAAAGATAGGAAAAACCAAAATGGTTATTTTTTTTCCCCTGCACTTAGCATAGTGTTAGGCATGTAGTAGACTACTCAATAAATATTTATTGAATTTGAATTAAAAATTAGGCACAGAGTATATTTGATATTCTATAAATGTAATAGACTAGATGTCATTGGTTTAAATATGTAGCTGAAAATTAGAGCAGAAAGAAATTACAGAATGCTAATTGGTCTGTTTATGTTTTTTAAGTGAAAACTTCCTTTTAGGAGCTTATTAAAAGTAGATTTTTAAACACAGAATTCTCCTGTAAACGTCCTCTAGGGGGAAAAAAGACATTGCATACTGTTAATTTTCCTAACTGGTAAGTAAAACTGGGTTAAAAAAATAGATTCAGAAAATTCTAATGTTAATAATACAGTGGTACAATTTGGTGGTTTTAAAAGTATATTTAGTATATAGTAAAACACTATTTGTTTTCTGAAAATTGCTGTAGTTTCACAATCTGAAAAAAACGTCTTGTCTTTTTGAATGCTGTATTTACTTTGGTGGAATATTTTGAACATGCCACTTATTTATAGAGGAATAATTTTGCATTCTTTTGGTAACATTTTTGTTGTCCTTTGTTATAAAGCAAACATAAATATTGGCTTGTCTGTTACTGAATTGATAAATTGCAAACTCTTATTTTAGTTGTAATGGGTTTTGGCCACATTGTGTATGATTTGAGTTGAAACTATTTCAGGCAGGTATTTGAGGAGATTTTCTTTATCAAAATGCTTCAAATCACAAATCAACAAAATTAATTTTTGTTCTCAAATATATAGGATACTTTATTCTAAGTGAGACTATATAAGATATTTAATCTCTAATTAGTAGATTTGGTCATTTCGGATGATATGATTGTTTTATTTATAAAACAAATATTTGGAGATTGTTTTCCAATACATCAGGTTATTCCTTGATATTTAGCAGAAGTTTTTGCCATAGTGCTTAATGAAAACAGCTCAAACTGTTAAAATACATTTTTGGTATAAGTATATTTGGTATGTTCTATGCTTTAATTATTAATTTGTAATTTTATTTTAACAAATTACTTTGTGTAGTTTTTTTTTAGAAGCAGATCAGCTCAGTGTAAGAAACTTAGAATATTGTTTTGTAGCTTTCTTTGTTATTTCGTTGTCCTTCCTTTTTATTTGTAGTTTGCAAGGGTAGATGAGATTTTTTTTTCAGTTTCACTTGTCCAGATGATATTTAATGTAGAATGAATAAACTCAGAAGAGCAGCCTTTACCTAAGGAAGAAGGTATGACTACTTCAAATTGTTTCATCACTTAGTTTGACTTCAGAGATTTTTGCTCTGTGATTTGCACTGACTTCAAAACTTTTTGCATGTATCTCAAAAGTGGGTGAGAACATTTATAGCAGCATTATTCATAATAACCAAACTTGGAAATAAACGCTATATCCATCAGTTGATAAATTGACATACAAAATGTGGTATATTCTTAAAATGGAATATTATTCAGTCATAAAAAGGAATGAAGTACAGATTCATGCTTTAACATACCTGAGCTTTGAAAACACGTTAGTGAAAGAAATGAGACACCAAAGGCCACAAAATATGTGATTCCATTTACGTGAAATGTCCAAATGGGCAAATCCATACAGACAGGAAGTAGATTAGTAGCTGACAGGAAGGAGCTGGGAGAATGTGGGAATGGAAAGGTACTGTAATGGATGTGGGATATATGGAAGATGTTCTGGATTATGGTTGCACAACTTTGTGAATGTACTAGAAAATACTTGCACATTTCAAAAAGGTGATTTTTCTTTATTTTTATAAATTTTTAAAAAAAATTTGAGATGGAGTCTTGCTGTGTCGCCCAGGCTGGTCTTAAACTTCTGGGCTCAAGCCATCCTCCCACTTCAGCTTCCCAAAGTGCTGGGATTCAGGCATGAGCTACTGTGCCCAGCCCAAACAGATGATTTTTATGGTGTGTGAATTATATCAATGTTTTTAAAAAGGGAGTTGAAATATATAAATTGTTGGTTTATAGAGATATTATTACTAGATGAGCTAGTCATTGCTAATTCTTTGACATTTATGCTGTAATCTGATGCTGTGAAGACTGAAAATGTTGACAGGGAAATAGGCTGCAAGTTCGAGGCTGGCCTTTTAATGAGTTGTTAAAAAATACAAAATTACAGTTGTCAGTCTTGTCTTAAAATCTTAAGAATAGCATTTCAATTTTTGTTGATAATACAGGCACATTTATCTATTAGCATTATTTTTGCTTATTTTTTTACATATCTTCTAATGATTACAGTTGTATTTTTTTTTCTTTTTTTCTTTTTTTTTTTGAGATGTAGTCTTGCTCTGTTGCCTAGGCTGGATGTAGTTTCGCTCTGTCACCTAGGCGATCTTGGCTCACTGCAGCCTCCGCCTCCCAGGTTCAAGCCATTCTCTTGCCTCAGCCTCTTGAGTAGCCAGGATTACAGGCACACGCCACCACGGCTGGCTAATTTTTGTATTTTTAGTAGATAAGGGGTTTCACTTGTATTGGTGAGGCTGGTCTCAAACTCCTGACCTTAAGTGATCCGTCCACCTCAGCCTCCCAAAGTGCTGGGATTATAGGCATGAGCCACCGCGCCTGGCCCAGTCGTAGTGATTTCAAAGATGGAACATAAGACAGCCTTGTGGAAAATCAGTCTGTCTTGAAATTGTGTTGTTATTTTTTGAGGTTTCAGTATATTCATTTTAGTGTGAGAGAATGACATCCTTTAAGGTACATGGTGGATACATTGTTAAATCGTAGTAACATCCTTCTGTGAGCCTAGTGCTGGGCACATGTTTGCAATCCCAGCTACTCAGCAGGCTGAGGCAGGCAAGTCCCTGGAAGCCAGGAGCTCAAGGCTGTAGTGTGCTATGATTGTACATCTGAGTAGCCACTGCACTTCAGCCTGGGCACCATAGTGAGACCCCCAACTCTAAGCAGGGTCAGGGGAGAGAAACAGAAAAGAAATCCTTCAGGAAATATTTAGGAAGATAGAAATAATTATATTAAAATCAATGTAAACATTTATGAAATGTAAATATATTCTATCAAAAATTATGTTGATTAAAAAGTTTTCTTGGCACTTTTAGATTAAAAACCATAAATCAGCAGTAGCTTATGCAATGTTCATGTGCTTGAAATTAGACATCTCTTTATTTAATACATAACAGTACATTGTATACCGTTTGAAGCTGTGTGAACTCTCATTTTGTGACTCAGAGGAGAGAGAATAGGTACTTGAATATAAAATATTAGTTCACCTTTCAAAATCAATCCAGTGTGAAATATTGGTTGCCTGAGAGGTCAGTCATACAGAATTGTGTGCTTTATTATTTGAAATGTTATTTGTTTTCAGCCTGGTGCAGAAATCCTTTTCCTTCAGTTATATTTTAGAACCACTGTGTGAGTACATTACTTTTTAGGTTTTGGGCCTCATGGACATTCTTAGCAACTTGTTTTCACAGCCCTTTCTTTGATGTTCATTTGAACCATAGCGTTGTTGATATTCAGAGTATTTTGACCTACAAACATAAACATTTTATATGGTTCAAACTAACAGTTAATTTGCTTCAGTTTACCAGGCATGGATGAGTACAGTTTCAATGCTAATAGCAAATATTTTACTTATTTTACTTTCCTGAGCACTTTACATGTTTTCACTGTTTTCCTCCTCACATCAACAACCCCAATGAATTTTATCTCTCATTTATAAATAAAGAAATAGGTGTAAAGAGATAAAGTAATATGCCCAAGTAAGTGGGAAACTCAGGATTTGAACCCAACTCCTCTTGCTCCAGAGTCTACACGCTGAACAACAATGCTATTCCGCCCTCTACCCTTGATCTAGTCCCCTCTTGGCCATCTGGTAGTTTTGTAAATTCAAGCATAGCTCCTTCTATGGCCTTGAGCCCCTCCTTTCCCTGCACAGTAGAGAGGGGTTGGACTTTTATTGGATTGTGTTTGTATTGTAATTGTGTGTTTTTCCAGATGTGTTTTCTAGCCACAGGAAGAGATACTCAAATAAGTCTTTCAACAGTATCTATTATGCTGACATTCACACTTGTTTGTGTTATTTTGTACGTTTTGGAAGCCTTCTGTAGTTAAGTATTAGTTGAGCTAATTCCTTACTGTTTTTGTGTCATACTTTGTTATGGAGCAACGTAATATGTGTATGTTGTTAACTGAATCGATAGAAATCTAAGAATCAACTTGGTCTATATCATCTGATGATTCAGGGGCTGGTTTGGATCATTGATAAAGTAAATTATTCCCTGTTTTACTTAACTCCTTAGTGGCAGTTTTCTAGATTCCCATTATTGGCTTGCATCAAAAAAAAAAAAAAAAAGGCATTTAAAAAGTTATGCCAGAGCTGGGAGAGCAAGAGGTGCTCTATGTTTTACTGATGGGGCCTGGCAGGATCCTATTCCTGCTCTCCTGATCTCTTATCCTGAATCCCCTGACACCTCTATTTCTGGAATTTTTCTCTTTTGTACTTGGTATCAGTAAGGAAATACATAGTACGAATACCCTGAGAGAGATTTCCAGCTTTATTTATTGATCTGACTGTCTTTCAGCTGATAAAATGCTATTTTATTACCCAAGTTTTAACCTCTGTCTGGTGATTTGTTGTTGTTGTTGTTGTTGTTGTTGTTGTTGAAGTTCAGGCTGCATGTGGGATAGGTTTGCTCAGGCATACTTCTTAGGAAGTAGTCACTTGCATGACTGTTTTTGGGATAACTCTTTGAGTATTTGGAGAGGTCTATTGTAACTTCTGAAAGGCATTGTTTTTACGTATGAATGTTCTAAAATTCATTCTAAATGGTCATGAAAAGAAAAGGATTCACATTTTAGAATGGCAATAGTCCCTGAGGACTATTATGTCTTTTAGATTTCCTGTGGGTTTCTAGGAATGTTAGTGTAACTTAGATTTCCACCTACCTGATTTCTGGATGTGCCTATTGGAACTTGCTGAGATCTTTTTTTTTCCTTAACATGTTGTCCCCTTGACCCGTACTTCGAAACTAAACATATTATTTTATTTGCTTACACTTCAGGAGGCAATTGGCAGACACCAGGCCAACAGTCTCTAGAGGTCGTGGGTGCCATCTACAAGTAGTCATGGTTTTTTATTGTATTTTAAAGTCCGCAAAAGATCTCTTGCTATGTTAGGTACACATACTATAGGTGATCACCTCCTATCCCTTAGGAGTTGTGATCATCTACCATCATTTGGACACTCATTTAGGCAGTCTTCCTGGGTGTTCCATTTGATCTGGTGTTAAATGATAAGGTGAATATCAGGTTACAATTTAGAGCCTTTAAATAAATAAGATGATGTATTATTTTGCATATAAATGTACACTGTTCTTGTTTGCTACTTAAAGGAATGTATTAGTTTCTGAGGGCTGCTGTAACAAATTACCATAAACTCAATGGCTTAAAACAGCAGAAATTTCTTCTCTCAAGAGTTCTGGAGGCCAGAAGTCTGTTGGCAAGCTTGGTTCCTTGTAGAGCTCTGAGGGAGGCCTGTCTGTGCCTCTTTTCTGGTGTCTGGTGTGGCTGGTAATCTTAGGCATTCCTTGGCTTGTGATTGCATCACTCCAGTCTTTACCTCTGTCTTCAGGTGGCTTTGGTCTCAAATTTTTTTCTTCTTTTTCTTCTATGGACACCTGTCATTGGTTTCAGGGTCCACTCTAAATTCAGGATAATCTCACCTCAAGATCCTTAATTATATCTAGAGGGACCCTGTTTCCAAATAAGGTCACATTCAGAAGTTCTTGGGGTTAGAATTTGGATATGTTTTTGTGGGAGGGGACACTATTTGATGCACTATCAGGAATATCTGTTCATTCATGCATTTTATTTATTTATTTATTTATTTATTTTTACAATTTCAGCCAATTTGCTAAGCATCTTACATTATACAGTACATATGTTATACTTTTTTTCTGGGACATAATATTTTGGAGATTGTATTATTTCCCATCTCATTATTCAGTAAACCTGAACTCTCACACTGGGATTTTGTGGGGTTGGGGGTGTGTGGAAAATCTGTTTTATTAAACTTAGTTTGCTATAATTTTTTCAGATTATTAAAAACATGTTCTAAACATGAGTGTATGATTATGTTTAGTTTAATATTATTTATTTTTTAGTTCCTTTTACTTTCTATCCCACCATTTGTGGATAGCATGTAAATAAATCTTGAAATTTGGGGCAAGAGAAACGTAAGAGGTTAATCCACTTCTAAGGCTACATCATTTTCAGAGTAACTGATTCCAAGGATGAGCAGAATATATTTATTTAATAGCTATGAGAGATGGATTTTCATAAACTTTTATCCAAAGTAACAAGATTCTCACATTCAGTGTAAAGGGTGTTATGAAAATGTAAAGTTCATTAATATGCTGTATATTTTTATCCCCTTGAATGTAATTTAGAGATTATATACTGTAATAGGATTTATGACATTATACTGTTTAATCTTTAGGGTGTTACAAACACATCAAGGACAGTTGGCAGTAACTGAAGTTTGCTTGCATTTTAAGAATGCATTAGTATTGCTGAGTATCATGTACTTTCCTAAAAATAAAGAAAATTATACTCTTAGAATATTTACAGATTCAAATATTTTTTTTTCCTTGCAGGCCAAGAATAAAATCTTTATGAACTAACAAGATGAATTAAAGATGGAATGATTCATTTCTATGGTTAGGTTTTAATTAATACATGGGGGATGATTTTGGCACTTTTTCAAAGAATTTGTTTCTGTGTATCTGAATTTGCACCTACTCTGTAACCTAACTGCGATTTATAAAATGAAACAATCTCTTCTAATTTGGCACTTGATAGGTGCTTTGACTTTAAAAGGCAAGTGTATTTTTCTGTCACGAATATCTTGTCATTCTAAAATAAGTAAAAACAATGGATTGATGAAACTTCTTCACTGCTTTTTTCTTTGTGTATAACAAATACATTGATATTTTACTGGCATAAAATGTGTATTTTAGTTGAGTCTTTAAATTATTGCTCAGTGTATTTTGTTTATTTTAAGCCATTATTACTTCCTTTATGTTGGATTTGGATAGTTTAGATTGTAAGCTTCTAAAGGGCAAATAATACATCTTTTCAACTGTGGTCTTGACTAGCAGTCCCAAACCTTTTTGACACCAAGGACCAGTTTCATGGAAGAAAATTTTTCCATGGACAGGGGTCGGGGGATAGTTTCGAGATGAAACTGTTCCACCTCAGATCATCAGACATTAGATTATCATAAGGAGCATACAACCTAGATCCCTCGCATGTGCAGTTCACAATAGGGTTCATGCTCCTATGAGAATCTAATGCAGCAGCTGATTTGACAGGAGGCGGAGCTCAGGCTCTAATTCTGACTAGCCTGCCGGCTGCTCACCTCCTGCTGTGTGGCCCAGTTCCTAACAGGCCACGAACTGGTACTGATTGTTCCCCAGAGTTTGGGGACCCCTTGTCTTGACAGTATCATGCACAGGTAGGTACTTTTAAGCTGTTTGATATTATTGTTTCTACTTCGGGAGATGGGAAGATAAATGGAATAAAATGAGCAAAGTGGCAGTGCCATTAAAGATCTGTGGATATCTGATTTCTCACAGAATTCACAGAATTACCCTTCATTAAAAGATGCAAATGGCAGTTTTATGAAGTCTTTTTGCCCTGTTTTGTGTTGGGTGTTCAGTACAGATGCAATTTTTTTTTTTTTAAATTTTCGATACAGGGTTGGTTGAATCCACTGTTGTGGAACCCATGGGTATGAAGGCCCGACTGTGCTGGGTTAAAAGGTCTTTTCTGTTAGAACTTAAAAATACTATCCTACTTCCTTTTGTCCTCTGTGGTTTCCGATGACAAATTCTCAGTTATTCTAATTTTGTTACTTTGTGAGTAATGCAAGTGAAACTTAAGAATTTGAAAATTTGAGTTTTCAGCCATTATTTACTCAAATGCTTTTTCTTTCTCCACTATACTCTTCTTCCCTTCTGGAACTTGAGGAAATGAATATTAGACCTCTTGATAACTATTGTCCTGTAAGTCCTTGAGGTTTTTTATTTTTATTTTTATTTTTTTGTTTTAAGAGACAGGGTCTCATTCTGTCTCCCAGCGTGAAGTGCAGTGGTGTGATCACAACTCACTGCTGCCTCAAAATTGGCTCAAGCAATCCTCCTGCCTCCACCTTCAGAATAGCTGGAACTACAGATGTGTGCCATCATGCCTGACTAATTTTTTTTATCTTATTTTTTATAGTGCCAAGATTTCACTATGTTGCCCCAGTCTGGTCTCGAACTCCTGGGCTCAAGTGATCCTCCCACCTCAGCCTCCCAGAGTGCTGGAATTAGGTGTGAGACACCATGCCCAGCCCCTGAGGTTGGTCTCTCCTCTCATCTTCTCTCCCCCTACCCCTCCCCCCTTCCTTCCCCCTCCCCCCTCTCCCCACCCCTCCTTATTACCCTCCCCCCTCACCTCCCCCTACCCTCCCCCCTCACCTCCCCTACCCTCCCCATCTCACCTCCCTTCCCTTCCCCCGCCCCTCCCCCTCCTTTCCCCTCCCCCTCCCCTTCCTCCCCTCCCCTCCCTCTCCTCCCCTATCTCACCTCCCCTCCCTTCCCCCACCCCTCCCCCTCCCTTCCTCACCCCTCCCCTTCCTCACCCCTCTCTTCCCCCTCCCTCCTTTCCCCTCCCCCTCTCTTCCTCACCCCTCCCTTCCCCCTCCCTCCCCTCCCCTTCCCCTCCCCTCTCCTCCCCTCTTCCCTCTCCCCTCCCCTTCTCTTTCCCCCTCCTCTCCCTTCTCCTCTCCCCTCCCCCTCCCTTCTCCCCTCGCCCCTCCCTTCTCTCCTCCCCTCTCCCCTCCCCTCCCCTCTCTCCTCCCATCTCCTCCCCTCTCCCCACTCCTTCCTTTCTTCATTTTTTTCCCATCTCTCAGATTTAATATTTTCTATAAATCTGTCAGCTATCTAGCCTGTCTAATGAGATTTTCATTTTGGTTATTATATTTTTCAGTTTCTAAATTTTGCATTTGATTTTTCTTTATATCTTCTATTTTTTGAGGTGGCTTTCCATCTTTGTTCATCCAAGAGTGTTTGCCCTTGTTGGAACATTTTTATAATAGTGGCTTTAAAGTCTTGGTCAGATAAATCCATCATCTGCATTATTTCAGTGTTGGCATCTGTTGTTTTTTTCTCATTGAGGTTTTCCTGATTCTTCATTTGTCAAATTATTTTGGGCTGTATCCTGGACAATTTAAGTGTCATATTTTGAGACCTTTTGTCTTGGTTTAATGCTGTGATGAATGTTGAATTCTTTTCCCCCGCTGAGACTGAGTTTTGCACTTGTTGCCCAGGCTGGAGTGCAACAGCGTGGTCTCGGCTCACTGCAACCTCTGCTTCCTGGGCTCAAGCGATTCTCCTGCGTCAGTCTCCCAAGTAGCTAGGATTACAGGTGCACACTACCACACCCAGCTAATTTTTTCTATTTTTAGTAGAGACGCGGTTTCACCATGTTGACCAGGCTGGTCTCGAACTCCTGACCTCAGGTGATCTGCCTGCCTTGGCCTCCCAAAGTGCTGGGATTACAGGCATGAGCCACCACGCCCAGCTGATTTTTTTTTTTAATAGGCAATTTGGTTGGGTTCATTCAGGTTGAAAGTTCTAAACAGCCTTCTGTAGGCTGTAGTTCCAATGCCAGTTTCCTTTACAAAACCTTTGCAGTCTTACTCAGAACTGTCCAGTGTGTGTGCCAAACATTGGACTGTCTGGGAACTGAGTAGTTGTCTACTCCATAGTTTAGCTCTCAGAGTCTGTGGTATGTTATTTTAGGATCAACCTTATGCAGGCATAGTTTGGAAGGGTGAGCACAAACTTCATGGGGCCACTTTCCTATGCTTCTCCTTCTTCATAATCTCTCTGGTACTTTTTGGTTGCCTAATCCTCCCCTCTTTATACTTCCAGCTACAGAGCTGGAGCTTGCTTTAGTTACTCTCTTCTGCTGCACATTTCTTGCAGCTGTGCCCATACTGGGGCCAAGTAGCAAGAAGACAGAGAAAAAAATAAGCAAAAAGAATTCTTGCTACCCTCTTGATGATGAAGGTTTGTTCCCTCAGAGTTTTAGACTTCTGCAGACCCCACTGCTGCTGCTGTCACTGCTTCCACCACCATCTTGTTTGCTCAGGGGCTGGGTATGGAGGATGTTGAAAAGAATAAAAAAAATGCCTAGGGAATTTTCTTCATTCTATCTAAGTATTAGGAGATTCTGTTCCTGCTCCTCAAGCTAGAACTAGAGGCTTCTCCTGGAGTTCTCTTTGTCTATCCCTGAGTGCCTGCTTCCAGATTTCAGCTGCTTTGAGTCTAGGGCAGGAGATACTAAAGGGGGAAAAATACTAAATCATCTGTTTGATATTAATATGAATTCTTATTTTATTCCCCAGTCTGCCTTAACTAGCTGCTTTATGCATCATCCAGGTTTTCTGGATTCAGTGGAAAAGACAAGGTAGTGTGTGCTTATTCCATCTTACTTGGAATTGGAACTCCTGGTATATTTGGAAATCAACAAAAATGTTAAAACGTAAGAAACAATTGTAACTCTAATGTATGGGTTTCCCCATATTCTTTGTTTTATGCTTCATGTTGTTTAAGAATACATGCATTAGGCTGGGCACGGTGGCTCACGCCTGTAAATCCCAGCACTTTGGGAGGCTGAGGCGGGTGGATCACCTGAAGTCAGGAGTTCGAGACCAGCCTGACCAACATGGAAAAACCCTGTCTCTACTAAAAAAAAATACCAAATTAGCTGGGCGTGGTGGTGCTTGCCTGTAATCCCAGCTACTTGGGTGGCTGAGGTGGGAGAATTGCTTGAACCCGGGAGGCGGAGGTTGCGGTGAGCCGAGATCGCGCCATTGCACTCCAGCCTGGGCATCAAGAGCAAAACTCCGTCTCAAAAAAAAAAAAAAAGAATACATGCATTAGAACCCACACAAGGAAACTGTCCCGTTTCAGGGTACACCTTTTATGGGTGCAACTAAATGTGCAAATTTAGTAAAACATTTTGGGCACTTGAAGCTATTGCAACTTTTGCTGCCTCAGAGAAGCAGGATAATTAAATTTTTGCCTATGGAAAAAGTAATTTTACCTTAGTTTTATGTCTTTTCTAATTTGTCATAAGATTCTAGGCCAAAGATCTAATAACCATTTTCTAGGAAGTTTCTTTTTGTTTGTTGTACTTATTTGAAGTGCATTAGGTTTCTCTTCTTTTTAATCACCAGTATATTGTTTTGAAAGTATATTGAACATTTTTTGTCATATTTTTTCTCCTTTCTCTTTTATATTTCTTACCTTTTTGTACTTTTTGTTTTTTACACTGTATTTCTTTATTTTAGATTCTTCACCCCTACTCTCCATGTCCCCTACTCCCACCCCACTAAAATGGTGGATAGGATTTATGTAGGGGTGCTGCTCTGAGAGTTTGAACTCTGATTGAGAGACTAATCCCCACCCCCGAAGGCTGTCTGCATCAGCTGTCCCCCTGGCTAATTAGAATTCCAAAGGGCATTAATAACCATTTAAATTAATCCGATTATACCTGCAGTTGCTAAAGGTAAGGTTCAGGCTGTTTAACCCTCTGTTAATGAACGCAAACATGAATCAAAACTGGGTAGGAATTTTACAGTTTATTTTCATTTCTGCCCAAAGGAAGAAAACCATTTCACCTGCTCTTTGTAGCAGTCTAGTTTACAACAATGCAAGGAAGCCTTGCCATTAATTCAGCCTTCATTAAAAGACCAAAGCTAAATTGCTCCATCTTGTGAAAATGCATTTGCATTGTTTGTGAAAGTCCTTTGGGGGCAGAGCTGTAGAAAACCGCCTAACAGCAAATAATCCTTTAGTTAAATGCAAAAGTGTTATAAAGAGCTAAAAATTCTCTTTCTAGCAACTAATGTTGCAATGATAATTTGACAGTAGTGGTCTCCCAAGGGGCATTAAACAGGTGGAAAAAGAGCTACCATTTCAGAACTTTAGTTAAAAAGGAGTGGAAATTGAATGACCAGTATTAAGAGTCAGAAGAAAGTCTATAGGGTTATGTAGTCCAGTTTCTCTCATATAGGAATTTTTTCTCCAACATAGTGGACATGGTTACCTAGTTTCTTTGTAAACATCTCAGTAACAGCAAGTGTTAATAAGGCAGCCCATCTCATAATCAGATAACTTGTTATTGTCAGAGAATCCTGATCTGAAATTAGTAACTATTATTTTTCTTTCATTTTACCCTTTGAGCCATATTGAATTATTTCAGTATAGCTCATTGCCCTCATTCCTATTCCCTGACCTCTCCATATTTTCTTCTTTAGATCAGGTGTGTATTACAGGAGATTTTTGAAATGTAGAAATATATGGAAGAATAAAATGTTCAGTAAACATGATTGTAAGACAGCACTTTTCATACATGGTTGAAGTTGAAAAATTTTAAAGCAAGAAAAGGACCAGAAGAAATATCTTTCCATGTAATTGGCTATTTCTTGAAGAGTTATTCTTTTTGCTGTTAATGTGTGTGTCACCTATGGAAAAGTCTAGATTCAATAACTAAGTCAGAAAAATTGGTTTGAGAAAAAGACATCTACTGGAATCTGTACGGCAGTCCTTCAACAAAGATATCTATTAGTCGATAGATGTCATCCCCAACACCTGTCTACAATGACTCATGTCTTTTCCTGATTACCACTTATAGATTTTTCCCTTTTTAAAAAAACTTTACACAAAATGTAAACTTCATACATTGGGATTATTCTTTAGTCTGGATCTTTTCTTTGAATGAAATAAGCTTTGGGATGCTTATTTAGATGTTCAATGGAACAGTGTGGAGAACAGTAATTGTGTTTGGGCTAAAGAATTAATCCATTTAGTCATGGGAAGCACTACTTAGCTTTCCATAGCAGCTGAATTGTGGTGCAACTTTGGGGCTATTTTAGGATTTTAACCTCAAATAGAAATGAAAGTTTATTTGTATTGATGAACATATGCTTTTGAATAATGAGCCATTGACTTGATTTCAATGAAAGTGAAATTGTTTTTCAATTCAGTTATTTTATGTTTGAACATGAATTGAAAGCTACATCTTTGTATTGCTGAAATTTAAAAAAAATCAATAACTTTAACATTTTAACAGAAAGTGTTTTAATAAGCAATTATTAGGGTGGCTTCAGAAGGGTATTGTAGCTTTAAAAATTTCTGACGGTTATTAGTACACTTTTGTACTGTGTAAATCAGACATTGGAATAAAATTACTTTTATTAACTAAAATTCTCCTACAATAGGAAATTTTACTGCATTTTGACATCTAGCAGGCCAAAGAAAGATGTTCAGAAAGTCTTATTTCTGTCTCAGACCAATAATTATCCCATATTTTGTATAAAACATTCTTTAAAATTGTTAGTTTAGATGATCACACAAAAGTAACTTTTCCAAGGGATGTAAGTTGCCTGCCACTGTACTACAGTCTGGCAGGTTCTACAGCCTGGAGAAAAATCTAGTAGCCTTTTAAAAAAAAAAAATTGTGTTAATAATAGCCTGTTTATGTTGTTGGATTTTCTGCTGTTTCATGTACAATTTTATATGAGCTACCAATTAATGCAGTTTATATGCAGTTTCTATCCTCAGCAAGGAATGAGGTGGTAATCCTGCCCTGCTCTTACTACAAAAGCTGGGCACATATCTACCAAGGAAAAATTTGTCCGCCTTCAGGAATTTCTTTCTCCCTCTTTCCTAATCAGTGCAAATCCATCAGTCACCTGAAGTCTCATCTCCTCCATGAAGCTTGTCCTGTGTGACCCTTGTAACCTGATATCCTCATCTTTAAAATTATTATTTGAATGCCTCATCCCTTTCCCTCTTACAGCGTTTTCATTATGATTTTCAGGTTCACACTCAAACTCAGACATTGCTGATGTTCTTTGAACTCCTCTCTGGCACTTAACTTGCCTATCCCACACAATTAAGCACTCTGACCAATTTTGTAGTTAGGGTGAAGTTTTCATACAAATGTGGATATATTGAAGACAAACTCTAAAAAATTGGGTACTTGCTATGCTAGGATAGTGGCCTTTAATATATTAAAGAATATTTCTCTTTTTGAGTTAGCATTTTTAATAGAAAATTAGATAATGGTTAAAACTCAAATTGGAGTACTTGATTCCTGGTGATTTAAGAGATGATACAGAGGTCCTATAAGAGACTTTAGAGCTTACTTACATATCGTAAGTGGTAGGTCAATGTAGAGTTAAGTAGCAACGGCCTTGCAACTCAAGAGCAAGACTGTTAGATAATATAGGTAGAGAATCAAGCAGGATGAAGCAGTGTATTTAGTATAGGGAATGGAATTATTTGGAGTAATGGTACTGGGAAAACATGTCTGAACAGATAATAGAGAGTGTGTGGGGTTAAGACAGACTCTAGTGGCACTGGGAGGATTGGGATAGAGCTTGGTGTTGCACAGATATTGTGCCTTAAGCTTAAGTGATGTATTGATGATTTTCATGGAGCATTTATTCTTTTTAAAGGGAAGATTTATTTGGGTGTTGTCCTGGTTAACTTCAGGAAGGCTTCTGTGTGAAATTATGCTGGAATTCGTTTTAAGGATGTAAATCCTATAAATCCACAGCTTGGGTGACAAATTGAATCTCTAACAAATAGAAGGAATTTAAGAGAAAAATCCTGTTGTCAAAGAATAGCTGATATTACAAACAGTTATTATATATACAAATTCTCTATCCAAAGGATGTCTTTGTATGTTGTTGAGATCATTGTCACTGCTTACTCTCAGGTGGGTATAGCAGAACAAGAACTCAGATTTCTTGGATTCTCTTTTTTCTTTTTTTTTTTTTTTTTGAGATGGGGTCTCACTCTATTGCCCAGGCTAGAGTGCAGTGGTGTGATCTCGGCTCACTGCAACCTCCACCACCCGGGTTCAAGCTATTCTCATGCCTCAGCCTCCCTAGTAGCTAGGATTACAGGCGTGCACCACCACACCTGGCTAATTTTTGTATTTTCAGTGAAGACGGGGTTTTACCATGTTAGCAAGGCTGGTCTTGAACTCCTGACCTCAGGAGATCCGCCCACCTCAGCCTCCCAAAGTGCTGGGATTACAGACGTAAGCCACCGCGTCCAGCCAGATTCTCATATTTTTTGTAACAGCAGATCCCTTATAAGTGCATCCCTTTGCACACCTAAATGCCTAAATCATATTGTTGATAAGTTTAATTCAGCAAATAACTGTTATTTAGCCACTAGGGACGTTGCAGAAGAAACTACAAAATAAAGTTTTTTTTGTTTATTTTCTTCTCATCTCCTTTAGATATATGAAAAATGCTGCTCATTAGCAATGTTTGTGATGTGGTCATGCAAACCAATGTGTTTTGCGTCTAATGTAGCAGTTTAATGAGTGGGAAGATGACTATCCTGGGGTGAATATGAAATGTGGCATGGAAAAGGAAACAATTGCTTGTGAATCCTGGAGAATCTGGTAAAGGGGGAACTTAAATATGTCGAGGAAGGGAAAGGCATTGTAAACCAGAAGAATAGATAGGGAGAACAGTTTGAGCAAATTGTTTTGGGAGGCATATTTAATGTAGTGAAGACTTAATGTAGTAGTGATTTAATGCGAATTAGCTGGAAGAGACACTACCTACAAAGCTCATAATTTAGTCCAAATTCTGAGGAGTAACTTATACTAGGTTGGTAATGGTACTACTGCAAGTAAATAAAATATTGCCAAAATAATTTTGAAATTAGAGTCACCACGATTTAATGACTTGATAAAAATGTTAATGGAGAGAAGAGAGATTGTAAGTTTGTGTGATTTTTTAAAATAATTCAACTACTGATAGCAATAGGGAAGTTGAAAGGAAGGGCCCAGTCCACTTTAGTTTTAGATGTGTAGAGTTTGAATTTTCTGCATTTGATTTTGGTGAAGGAATTATGAGGGTACTTCAAAAAATAAGACTAGAATGTTTGTGTCAGGCCCAGATATATAAATATATATAAATATTTGGGCATGGAAAGAAAATCCCAGGAATCAAATAATGTGCCAGTTTTATGATTTTGACACACTCAAACCTCTGCCTTTTGTTTCTCTGGGTCACTCTGTCCAGTACAACAATAGGCTTGCTATGTATTTTGGATGAACAATGAAAGAGAGTGAACTGTTCTTTAAAAAGCTGTTTATTATAGTGAAACTTTATCTGTAGATGCAGCCACTTTGCCAGATCTCTGATGGAACTAACAATAATTTTGTCTAGTTAATTTTAATAGTACGTCCTTTGTCACAGGTTGTTCAAATGAACAAATATAACATGATTTTTATGGCAGGTAAAGAAGAATATTTTAAATGGAAGGAGACCTGATGCAAAGAAAAAGGCATTATTTTTAGTGGTGCAGCGATTTTGGGACTTATTATAGTAGAACCTATTCTTTATAGAGATTATTTTGTTTGATTTTTCTATTTTGTTTTTCTTTGCTATCTAGCTTTGTTACATAGTGACCATTTTTAGCACTATAAAACTTAATGTAGTAATCAGATTTAGCAGATTATTATTTAAAGCTGAGCATTTAAAATTAACTTTTTGCCCTGTGTTCATTTTTGAATTTCCTGTTTTTATATAAATATTTGATTAAAAAGCTTTCTGTTTAATAAAATTGTGTTATGATTATTTTAATGTCGTTTGAGGACATTTAAAAAACCCTCCCAAAATATCTAGGATATTGTTTTAATCTGTAGCCTTCTCAGTAGAAATTAAAAAAATTGGGGGATACACTTTTTTGTGTGAAGGATAAAGCTCTTGTATTAATGACAACATTAGGTACTGGGTAGTATTTTAGTCATTATTAAAATTATTATTAAAAATTCTGTTATATATTGTAACGTATTAAACATTTGAGTATGTGTTGAGTTCATCATTTGAATACATAGTGCTGTTTTAAGTTATTTGTGTGTTATGAAGAAAAGGTCACTATGTTTTATTTTTATAAGGTGGAAAAAACAATCCAGAATGATAATCAAAGCCAAGGTAGAGGAACTTGTTAAACACTTTAAAATTAGACTTCCCCCCACCCCCAGCCTCTAGTGTGATACTTTGAAGGCAGCTGCTACAGATAAACTCTGGAGCCCCAGATGGTGGTTGCCTAATCCTCATGAGAATTCATGTCCTGGAAGCAGCTCTTATCTCTCCAGACCTGACATTGTCTGTGAGCTTTTGCTAAGGAGGGAATAATATAAACATGCTATGCATGAGTTTCACTTCTTGAATATGTCAAAGACACAGGAAGTTATAACAAAGTATAAAAAGAACCGAGTTCACATTTATTGAAAATGTTGTTATTTAAAGCACTTGATGCTAGCTTGTGATGATGAGTGATGGGGTGCAGTCTGGAAGGAAAGGCACAGTGAACTGTTTTTTATTTTGGAAACGAAAATGCCAGTCTCAGTGTTATGATTTCAGAGATGTAGATTTGTCATTAAGTGTGCAGTACCCAGAATAATTCAGTTATTTGATCTAATGTAAGAATGTAAAACAATCCATCCTGTAAATGAATGTCCTGGCTTTTATTTCCTATGCAGGAGTCCTCTCTGTTTCGAAAGTCAAAACAGCAATTGCACTATTCTGGATTTGATGTTTTGTTAAAAAAAAAAAGTTTCCGAAATCTGATCTGTGAGATCTGGGCCAGTGACAACTATAAGTGGTTGTCTCTTTGGCATAGCAGCCAAATATTCTGAAGTGAAATTGTGGATACTTTATCTACTTCAGGTAGTGTCTCATTTAATATATGAGCAGGGATGTTGGCACTGTCATCATGAATAATTGTTGAATCACCCATCACTTGATGTTATGACTGTCTATAAGGAAAAAGGGGAATTTCCCATCTTATAAAATGACAAAATTTGTAATTAAATGGGAAACTGTAGTGTTCCTCATAACAAAGCCTAAGCCTGTCTTTCAAATCTGATACCTCTTTCTCTAAATAACCTGTTTTCCAACCACTCTGGCCCTCTTACTTGTCCTAGAATCTGTGGTGCCCTGTTATGTTTTCATATCTTTTTTCATTTTATTTCATCATTCTGCAGAGCCCTTCCTCAAAAAAGCTTCTATTCATCCTGTGAGATGAATAGACCCAGCTAAAATATCACTTGTTCTATGGAGTCTTTCTCAGACTGAATAATTTTATTTTCTCCCAGAATGTTACAACCAGAGTAATCTTTGTAAACTACAGATTTGATCATGCCTCAATAAAAAAGTTTTAATGGTAATTAACATTTCATATCAAACTCAGTGTATCAGCCTAGTGGTCTCTGTCTTCATTTGTCCAGCCGATCACATCTTCTCTTTGTCACAGAACAACTTGCTGTTATCCCTTCCTCTGAGCCTACTTTGTGGTCACTTTTGCCCTGGAGTGCTCACCCGTCTGTCTATTTTAGTCTTCCTCATTTTTAAAGATCTAGAGTCTATGAGGAATTAAGATAATACAAAGTGGAAAGTGTTAGGTGCCAAAAGAGAAAGAATTCAGTTGGCATACTTATGTTGTCTTTGCCTCCTCTGTTCAAGTGGGAGGTCCTAATGATAGAGCTTGCTCCCTCAAACTTGTGTATATTCTGCAGTCTCTAGTACAGTATCTTAGGGAAGAGGTAGAGGAGGAGATAAATTTGAAAGATTAGTAAGAAAGAACTGAGTAAAACCTGGGTTTGGTTAGATAGGATAGGTGGTAGAGTGAAGGAAGAGGCATCAAAGACTCGTGTTCAATACCTTTTTTGCATTGAATTAATTGATGATTGACCCTTGGTGTGTTTGTCATATTTTCCTTGCTCTTTGAAATTCTTTTGCCTAATGTGTGCTAAAGTAGTCTGAAACAGACTGCTTACCACCTGTATCTTTTAGCCTTCTACCCACTGAGCTCCTTTTCTATTGCTTCCTATTTTTGACACATTTGCCACACCCTCCTCCCCACCTGTATTCTCTTTTTGGGGTTCTGTTTCCCATAGTAATTTAAATGGCCAATGAAAACATGCCCCAGATGATACTATTTTTCATCATGCTCTCCTGCCACTTTGTTTTCCTGTTTAAAAGAACAAACAGCAAAAGAAAAAGACACAAGCTGCTAGTTTGTAGCCTAGCTGGCTCTGATTTCTCTAATTCTTGTCTTTGCTGTTCTGTCATTCTTGGTTTCTACTGTTTCTTTTTCTTTTTTCTTTTCTTTCTTCTTTTTTTTTTTTTTTTTTCTTGAGACGGAGCTTCACTCTTGTTGCCCAGGCTGGAGTGCAATGGTGCGATCTCAGCTCGCTGCAACCTCCACCTCCTGGGTTCAAGCGATTCTCCTGCCTCAGCCTCCCGAGTAGCTGGGATTATAGGCATACACCACCACGCCCAGTTAATTTTTTGTAATTTTACTAGACACAGGGTTTCACTATGTTGGCCAGGCTGGTCTCGAACTCCTGACTTCAGGTGATCCACCTGCCTCGGCCTCCCAAAGTGCTGGGATTACAGGCGTGAGCCACCGTGCCCAGCCCTACTGTTTCTTTTTCTGTCTGTCTGTCTGTCTGTCTTTCTCTCTGTCTGTCTGTCTTTCTGTCTGTCTTTCTTTCTGTCTTTCTTTCTTTCTTTCTCCTTTTCTCTCTGTTGTCCAGGCTGGAGTGCAGTGGCGCGATCTCGGCTCACTGCAAGCTCCACCTCCTGGGTTCACGCCATTCTCCTGCCTCAGCCTCCCAGTAGCTGGGACTACAGGCACCCGCCACCACGCCCGGCTAATTTTTTGTATTTTTAGTAGAGACGGGGTTTCACGGTGTTGGCCAGGCTGGTCTCAAACTCCTGACTTCAGGTGATCCACCTGCCTCGGCCTCCCAAAGTGCTGGGATTACAGGCGTGAGCCACTGTGCCAGGACTGTTTCTTTTTCTTACCGCGCTCTGCTCCCATTTTTGCCTTCCCATTTGTGCGCCACCATTATTAAATGCTTTATATTCTCTCTTTTGATTGGGTTACACGTTCTTTTATTCTTCCTATTCTTAATCCTTTGTGTTTTCTCTGTTACTTTGTTTTTCTAATTTCCTCTCTCTTTGTTATCTTTTTCTGTTTTCTTCTCCATGTTCACTTCCTTTTTTTATTATCTTTCAACTCTCCTCCTTTTTTCACTCTTCACTGTGTATCATTAAAAAATAAAAACAAACCCGAAAACAAAACATAAGCTCTTGGCTGTATTCAGGCCTCATTTTGTGCTTAATTTCCATGTTTCCTGTTGCTTTAATTAGAGCTGACACCAAGTTTTCCCCTTCATTTATGACTTTTCATTGTTTTCCTCATATTCCTTACCCATAACAAATCTTAAAAAGCTATAATCCCAGCTGTTCTCCATCACCATCATGTCCAACTCCATGTGCTTTCTTTTTCCATTTTTCTTCCAGTGATTTTATGTATGTGTGTTTATTAAAGTCCTAAAATGGGGAAAGTATGGCTGATGTGCAACTGTTGAGTCCTGCAATACTGGCTTTTCTGCCTCCTAGAAGCCTTGGTGGTGAGGGTAGAAGCGGGAGCCAATTCATAAAAAGAGAGTGAAGAGTCAAATAAGAAATTTGAGGGTGTTTATAGCTGTCTGTAAATTATGCTTTGTGGAAAATAGAGTTGGAAGTGTAATTGAGGAACAGGAGTAGACCAGAAATATGAACCATTGAAAGGCTCTCTGCTTAAAGATGCTTATCTTTTCTTCCCTTCCCCTGTGACTCATACCTACTGTTCATTAGAAATGCATGTGTTTTAACTGGTCTTTTTTAAAATGAAAATGTTCTGTAATGTTAAGTCTTCATCACACTTTGTGTGACTTAATCAGATTGTGAATAGGAATTTTAATTTTGAGTGTGAGGGAAGGACAGTGGAGGGAGAGCACTAATGGGTAGAAACTCTCCTGTGTAACAGGGGCTATGGGAGACAAGGGTATCATTGCATGCTCTTGTAACTTTTGTTTTGAATTCATTGAATTTTTTAAATGAAGAAGATATTAGTGAGAGTCTAGTTTAATTTATTTATTTTATAGGTTAAAAAACGATCCAGAGAGATTTACTTGTTCAGGTCTTACAGCTTGTTAGTGATTGAAAAGGGCCAGTTCAATCCATTGTCTTTTTAATGCCATATTATTTTTGTATTACAGTGGCTTCCTAGCCATTCCTTGACTTGAAGTGAGAAGAAAAGGATCAAAGAGAAAAAGAGACAAAAAGTAATATGTATATGTGCCCTTCCACCTTCTCATTCTTTTCTTCCTTTATTGTCAGCATATTATAATATTCTGGTTTTCCATATCTGAAGAACAGATCCTGCTTGTACGGCTAAGGAGCTGTTTTATTGCAAGTATTAGAAAACAAAAATATTAGAGCTTTATTGAGGAGGAAAGTAATAATATATTTTAAAGGTTTTCTATGCTATTTTATTTGTGTTCATCAAAAACACAAGATCACTTTTTGTGTAGAAAATCTGAATGGGAAGCAAAATCTGACTGGAGAATCCAGTGGTCCAGAGTTACTTTAAGAAGTGAATATGTTTAAATAGCAGGGCCCAATGACATGCATCCTAGGGCACTTAAAGATGTGGCAGATACCATTGCAGAGGCACTAGCAAATTACCATGCACAGGATGTGAAAAGGGCAGAGTAATGGTAGGGCTTCTAAGCCACCACTTTTGTTAATCTAGTGCTCTTTACCACCTCCCCCAAAGCTATAGAAACAAAGAAGCTATACAAAACTCATATTATCTGCATTGCACTGGGCTTTGAAGACACCACTTATCCAGCCATACCCCATTTTCTCAACTTACGCATCCTAAATGTAAATCCAATGTGGGTTTTAAGAGCTTGTATAATGTCTATGGAAAATAGAGAGTAGAAATAGAGCTTCTATTCACAAGTGTTTCTTGAATCCCATTTTTTAGAGTACATTTAGCATACTGACTTATTTGATCCTCTAAGCAACTCAGAATGTCTCTGATATAATGCATAAAAATAAAGATAGCACAGTGTGCAATAAAAAAGTTTACATTCTTTGGATTCAGTTTGTATTATCAATCCAGACCTTTTTATTTGTTTGTTTCTATTATGTACCTTGTCTGCTTCCACAAAAGGATTTGAGATAGATTGGGATAACATGCATGTACAATAGTAGGACAGCTGAAGATAAAGTTAAAGGGTAAACAGTCAAGTGAGGTTACCTCTTCTAGGAACCTGAGGTAAAATGATTATTGTATTTAGATATTAAATTTAGCTCTCAGCTTTGGCAGTTAAAACCAAAGGGAAACATAATGAATTGTTTGTTTTAATTGTTTGTTTAATTAAAGAGAAGCACATTACTTTTAACCTTAAATCATGGCTATTTAAATACACATGTATTATCTCTGTAAACTTTTTTGTTTGTTTTTAGAGGCAGGGTCTTGCTCTGTTGCCCAGGTGGAGCTTACTGTAACCTCCACCTCTTGGGCTCAAGTGATCCTCCTGCCTCAGTCTCCCCAGTAGCTAGGACTCAGTTGTGAGCCACCATGCCCAGCTAATTTTTAAATTTTTTTGTAGAGATGGGGTTTTACTATGTTGCCCAGGCTGATCTTGAACTCCTGGACTCAAGCGATCCTCCTGCCTTGGCCTTCCACAGTGCTGGGATTATAGGCGTAAGCCATCACGCCCGGCCCTTATAAACTACTTTAGAGTAGAAACCATATGGATCCACGTTTGTCTCCATCACAGTTTTTAGCACAAGTGAACAAATGGTTGAATATGATTTATTTTTAGGAAAGTAACTTGTTTTGGCACTAGAATCTAAGAGAAAATTTGGCTTCTGGAATCTTATGAACAAAATACTGAGTAATGTAAGTTATTGACAACTATTTCAGCCAAAGTTTTACAAAAGAAGCAAAACAGTTCTTTGTATAGCCCTTGCTTTTGTTAAACCCACAGAAACTACAGGGGGCAACTAGGAAGTGCAGGGTGGTATCTTGAACAAATGAGATTCTGAGTCGATGGACCCAAATCTAGTCCCATATCTGCTTTGGTTTCTGTGACATTGGGGAAGCTATATAACCTTACTGAACTTTACAGATTTCCTCATTTGTAAAATAGGGCTAATAATAATTTTCTCAAAGGCATTTTGGTTTGTTTAAATGAGGTAATCCAGGTACGCAACAGTTTCTTTTGAGAGAAAATATTTTTCTTTAAAAAATTTTTTTTTTACTTTAAGTACCAGGATACATGTACAGAATGTGTAGGTTTGTTACATAGGTATACGTGTGCCATGGTGGTTTCCTGCACCTATCAACCTGTCATCTAGGTTTTAAGCCCCACATGCATTAGCTGTTTGTCCTGATGCTCTCTCTCCCCTTGCCCCTGCCCAGTGTGTGTTGTTCCCCGCCCTGTGTTTATGTGTTCTCGTTATTCAACTCCCACTTATGCATGAGAACATGTGGTGTTTGGTTTTCTGTGTTCCTGTGTTAGTTTACTGAGGATGATGGCTTCCAGCTTCATCCATGTTCCTGCAGAGGACATGATCTCATTCCTTTTTGTGGCTGCATAGTATTCCATGGTGTATATGTACCACATTTTCTTTATCCAGTCTATCATTAATGGACATTTGGGTTGGTTCCATGTCTTTTGTATTGTGAATAGTGTTGCAGTAAACATATGTGTGCCTGCATGTTTATAACACAGTGATTTATATTCCGTTGGGTATATACCGAGTAATGGAATTGCTGGGTCAAATGGTATTGCTGGTTCTAGATCCTTGAGTAATTGCCACACTGTCTTCAACAATGGTTGAACTAATTTACGCTCCCACTAGCAATATAAAAGCATTTGTATTTCTCCATAGCCTCGCCAGCATTTGTTGTTTCTTGACTTTTTAATAATCGCCATTCTGACTGGCATGAGATGGTACCTCATTGTGGTTTTGATTTGCATTTCTCTGATGATCAGTGATGTTGAGCTTATTTTCATGTTTGTCAGCCGTGTAAATGTCGTCTTTTGATAAGTGTCTGTTCATATTCTTTGCCCACTTTTTGATGGGGTTGTTTGTTTTTTTCTTGTAAATTTGTTTAAGTTCTTTGTAAATTCTGGATATTAGACCTTTGTCAGATGGGTAGATTGCAAAAATTTTCTCCCATTCTGTAGGTTGTCTGTTCACTCTGATGATAGTTTCTTTTGCTCTGCAGAAGCTCTTTACTTTAATTAGATCCCATATGTCACTTTTAGCTTTTGTTGCAATTGCTTTTGGCGATTTCATCATAAAATCTTTGCCCATGCCTATGTCTTGAATGGTATCACCTAGATTTTCTTCTAGGGTTTTTATGGTTTTGTGTTTTACATTTAAGTCTTTAATCCATCTTGAGTTAATTTTTGTATGAAGTGTAAAGAAGGGGTCCAATTTCGGTTTTCTGTATATGGCTAGACAGTTTTCCCAGCACCATTTATTAGATAGGGAATCCTTTCCCCATTGCTTGTTTTTGTCAGGTTTGTCAAAGATCAGATGGTTGTAGATGTGTGGTCTTATTTCTGAGGTCACTATTCTGTTCCACTGGTCTATATGTCTGTTTTGGTACCAGTACCATGCTGTTTTGGTTACTGTAGCCTTGTAGTATAGTTTGAAGTTAGGTAGCATGATGCCTCCAGCTTTGTTCTTTTTGCTTAGGATTGTCTTGGTTATGTGGGCTCTTTTTTTGGCTTCATATGAATTTTAAAGTAGTTTTTTTCTGAGATAAAATAATTTTCTGAACTAAGCATGGGCTTTTCAGTTAGGCTGACTTTGGATTTTGCTGTTTGATCATGGGCAAAGCACTTAACATGTCTGCTATGGTTTGAATGTGTCCCCCAAAGGTCATGTGTTAGAAATTTGATCCCCAATATGGAGATGTTGGGAGGTGGGATCTTTAAGATATGTTTGGGTCATGAGGGCTCTGCCCTCATGAATGGATTAATGCAGTTATTGTGGGAGCGGGTTCATGACAACAGGAAAAGTTTAACCCCATCTTAAGTGTGCTTTAGCACCTGCACAGTATGCAGGTTAATTCTCTTGGCAAGAATCTTGCCCTTAACTGGTTTGTTTACAACAATGCCAACAGCGTGCAGGGTAACATTGTAGACTCTTCCAGGTTTGCCATGGTAACATTTGTGAGGTGTTCCTTTTTGAACAGTACCTATTCCCTTGATGTCTGCAGTATCACCTTTCTTGTAGCTTCACGTGTATGTGGCCAAAAGAACAACTCTTTTCTAAAAGGCCTGGAGAACATTATCAGGTTCCTCCCTTACTAGAAAATGAGAGTGTCCCACCTGAAAAACAACTAGTATACTTTAATACACTTTAAAGTGACTACATAATATTTCACAGCTTAGATGTGTCATGGTTTATGTCATCTTGGCTCTGTTGATGGGTACTTTGTAAGCTCCACTTTTTTTGAGACGGAGTCTCGCTCAGTCGCCCAGGTTGCAATGCAGAGGCACAATCTCAGCTCACTGCAACCTCCACCTCTCAGGTTCAAGCAATTCTCCTGCCTCAGCCTCCTGAGTAGCTGGAATTACAGGCACATGCGACCACACCTGGTTAATTTTTTGTATTTTTAGTAGAGATGGGGTTTCACCATGTTGGTCAGGCTGATCTCGAACTCCTGACCTTGTGATCCACCTGCCTTGGCTTCCCAAAGTGCTGGGATTACAGGCATCAGCCACCTTGCCCAGCCAGCTCCACTTTTTTTATTTGGTGAGGAAAGTTGAAATCATGCATTTGTACAATTGTGGATTTGTTGGAGTTTTTTTTTTTTTCTTTCCGCTTAGTCAGTTCCTAATTTGTACATTTTGAAGCCCTATTCTTAGGAGTATTATGATATTTTGGTGAATTGACCCCTTAGTCATTATTAAATGTTTCTCTTTATTCCTGACAACGTCATTTGTTCTAAAATCTGCTTTTTCTAATATTAATATAGGCAGCCACTCTTGCTATCTTTTCTGCCATTTTTTAGTTCTTTTATTTTTAACAGATATATGTCTAAAAGGTAGGTTTTGTGTGGAAAGCATGTAGGAGGGTTCTTTCCCTGATTTCAAGTAGTTCCTTCCATCCCCACACAAGAGAATAGTACTAAGCCAGAAAATTGATGAAACCAATCTTCAGCTTTCTTTCCCCTCCCTCTCTTCCCCTCCCGGCTTTCTCCCTCCCTTCCCCCTTCCCCCTCTCCCTCTCCCTCCTCCTCCCCACTTCTCTCTCATTCCTCTTCCCTCCCGCCTTCACCTTTCCCGCTTCGTTTTGGCAGGGTCTCCCTCTGTTGCCCAGGCTGGAGTGTGGTGGCGCGATCTTGGCTCAGCGCAACCTGCTGGACTCAAGCAATCCTCCCACCTCAGCCCCCCGAGTAGCTGGGACTACAAGTATGTACCACCACATCCAGCTAATTTTTGCATTTTTTGTAGAGATGGGTTTTGCCCATGTTGCCCAGGCTGGTCTCAAACTCCCGGGCTCAAGCGATCCACTTGCCTCAGCTTCCTAAAGTGTTGAGGTTACAGGTGTGAGCCACGATGCTGGGCCTAGCTTTCTATGTGGCCAGTTTCTCTGGTATTTTTCTCTGGAAATTGCAGCGACTTTGACCTGTGTACATTCTGTGATCTGTCCTTGACACTCAATTACGTAGATGGGGTCTGGTTTGACTACCTCCTCCCTTACAAGGTGGCCAGGAAACCTTCTCAATGTAAGATTCAACTTACCTATTTCCTTTCTCTCCAGGATCACTATTCTGCCATGTCTGTGTGTCTAAAAGTGTTTCAGGCAGAGGCAGGGGGATCTCTTGAGGCTAGGAGTTTGATATCAGCCTGGATAACTTAGTGAAACTGTAGTCTCTCCAAAAAAAAAAAAAATCGTTGGTCATGGTGGTGTGCAACCGTAGTCCCAGCTACTGGAGAGGCTGAGAAGGGAGGATCGCTTGAACCCAGGAGTTTGAGGCTACAGTGAGCTATGATCTTACCACTGTACTCCAGCCTGGATGACAAAGCCAGACTCTGTCTCTAAATGAATGAATGAATACAGTTGTGTCTTCTTATTGTTTAGAGTTGAAGTATATGTAGTCCTTGTTACTCCATCATAACTGAAAGTGTAATTTTGCTTTCATTCTTAAATGATATATTTGGAGCATATAATCTCATTTGAAAGCTTTTTTTAGCACTTGCAATGTGTATTTCTACTGTGTTCTGGCATTTATTATTTTTTATGATGTCAGTAGTCATTTTTTTTCTATACGTTAATGTGTCATTTTTCTCTGCCTTCTTTCAAGATTATTTCTGTATTTAAACTTTCTAGTAGTTTGTGATGTGCCTGGTTGTACATTTTTTGTATTTTTCCTGGTTGGAGATCAAACTTTTATTTATTATTTCTCCAGAGTTTTTTTTTTTTTTTTTTTGCCTTGTGTTCAAGACTAAAACTTTTTTCTTGCTTCATTTTTTCCTTCTGGTCATTCTTGTATTCCTGTAATACATGTGGTAATCCGTTGCTGTGTCCTACAGTTTATGATGCTCTGTTTAAAACAAAAAAAAAATCGATTTTCTGTTTGTCGGATCGGATAATTTTTACTGATCTATGTTCATGCCTACTAACTTTTCCTTCTGTCATATCCAATCTGCTATTTAGCCCATTCAGTGATTTTTAAAAATATTTCAGATACTATATTTTCTACTTCTAAATTTTCCATTGCTTTAAAAAAATAATTTCTATTTCTCTGGTGTGATTTCCTATCTGTTTAATCATTGCCAGCATTTTTTTTCAAATTAATAAGTTTTATTTTTGATATTTATGTTCATCGTTTTATCACTTTTTATGACCGAGGTTTAGTGAATAGTTTTAAGTTTTTGTTAAGTAAATTAGTAGGCCCTCCTGTACTCTGGCCCTCCTTTCTGTGTTAGTGGTGTTCACATCAGTTTTTTAAATGAATGATTTGGTGCTCCTGGTTTCTCCAGTGTATTTTTTGTTACGGCTTCTGCTTTTGTTTGTTTGTTTTCAGACAAGGTCTTACTCTGTCACCCAGGCTGGAGTGCAGTGGCATGATCACACATCCTCGACCTCCTGGGCTCAGGTGATCCTCCCACCTCATCCCCTCGAATAGCTGAGATTACAGGCGTGCACCACCACACGCGGCTAATTTTTGTATTTTTAGTACAGATGGGGTTTCACCATTGTTGCCCAGGCTGGTCTTGAACTCCTGAGCTCAATTGATCCACCTGCCTCGGCCTCCCAAAGTGTTAGGATCACAGACGTGAGCCACCACTCCCGGCCTATTAAAGCTTCTGAAACACAGTCTACTAGATTGCCTTCACCAACCCTTTCTCACTTCTAGCTTTAATAGGCAGGAGTGCTGCTTCAGCAAAAAGAAGGGTGAGAGCAAGTTTAGAAATGGCAGTGTTGAATGAGGTGAAATGAGAATAGGTAATGTGTAACAGATCATATTGAGTGATGATTATGGGCTGGCAGCATCTCTAGTAATCCTGAGCTGCTTTCTGGTACTTACATCTCATGTCCACACCAGCAGCAAAACTTGTCACTTTAAGCCTTTGAAATATACTTAGAATCAGAACCTGGTTACTTCTTACCCATCTACTCTGCCATCACTTTGTTCCAATTCACCATTATCATAGTTTGAACTGTTGGAGTGGTGTCTAGATTTTTGTTCTTCATTTTTCCACCAAGCAGCTAGAGAGGTCCTTTTAACACATAAATCAGACAATGTCATTTCTTTGCACACAGCTCATTCATTTCATGGCAAAAAAGGCTATATATGATATGGTTCTTTATCTTTCTGATCTTATCTCCTAATACTATCACCTATCAATGCTCTGCTTCAGCCACATTGACTTCTTTTTAAAAAATTTTAAAAAATATTAATAACTTTATTCTTTTCTGTTTTTACTGGGGCTGGCATAATAAAATACAACCGCAATTTTTTTTTTTTGAGATGGAGTCTCACTCTGTTGCCCAGGCTGGAGTGTAGTGGTGCGACCTCAGCTCACTGCAAGCTCCACCTCCCAGGTTCACGCCATTTGCCTGCCTCAGTCTCCCGAGTAGCTGGGACTACAGGCGCCCACAACCACGCCTGGCTAACTTTTTGTATTTTTAGTAGAGACGGGGTTTCACCGTGTTAGCCAGGATGGTCTCGATCTCCTGACCTTGTGATCTGCCCACCTCGGCCTCCCACAGTGCTGGGATTACAGGCATGAGCCACCACGCCTGGCCATTTTTTTTTTAAAGTTCCAAGTATATTCCTGTCTTAGAGCTTTTGCAGGTATCGTGCCCTCTGTTGTGTATGCTTTCCAACCTCAATATTTACATGGCTGTCTTCCTCAATTTTTTCAATCTTGCTCAAATATCATCAGAGAGAATTCCCCTCACCTGTATAAAATAACATCTTTGTCTACCCTTTTCATTTTCTCTCCCCCTTTTCTTAATGTTTTATATGCATATGTATGTATACACATGTGTGTATATATGTATTTAATGGTTTCACTCTACCTGTTAAAGAAGAACCCTTTTTGTTTCATTTCTGCATCCCCAGGGCCTAGAAACAGTACTCAAATACTTCTTGAATGCATGACTGAATAAACTGGATAAATATTTGTGTTTATAAGGGAAATCAGTGGGCATATAGCAGCATTAGGACTCTGGAGAAGTGTGGAGTAGTTAGGTAGGGGTGTGTTCTGGAGAGAATAAGTTACTGGAGTGGACATGTTCATGCTAAAGATTATTTGTGGGCAGATTACTTGGGCAGATAGTAATACATGAAGTCAGAAGCCTTTCTGGATTATTGGTTTCTCTTTGAATCCACCAAGGACAGTTTTTTTTTCTCTTCATTTGACCCCATGATATAGGATTAGGTTTCTTTCTTTTTCTGTTTCTTCTTCCTGTTTTTTTATTTATTTTTATTTTTTTATTTTTTGGCTTCAGAGTGAGCAAGCTTTCTTTCACCCTTTCTTGGCTCTCTGGTTTATTGTCATAGCCAGTCCTTTCCTGCCAGCTTGATTGTCTTCCCTCTAGTGGCTGGCTCTCATCTCCCTGGCTTCTTTTTTGTCAGGAAGGGTGTTGTGTATGTGCACTTTATCCCTGAATGCTAAGAGAGGACTTGTCAAACTGACAGTTGGTGTGACTGCTGGCTGCCACTTGACACGGAGAATGACATCTAAAAGTCTGCATTTGCAGCCGTGGACCTTCAAGAGACTCATAGAAGAGGCTGTACTTTTTCAGTGAGAAATAACCACATCTATGAACATTTAGTATTTATAATATTAAAATGTATCCTTTCACTAAACTATATTTAGCCCTCATACTGTTCATCCTATCTTATATTACTGATCTTTTTCATGTGATAAATAAGATTATGTAGAAAACACCAAGATTTTTCAGGAGTAGTGTATAATAATGAACAAGGTTTATTTCATTTGTTTCTTGTGTGCATTACATCATTCATTTCCCTCCCATTTTGACATCTGCAATGGCTCCCTGATATCTACTAAATATAACTATTTAACCAGCATCTAAGGCAATTCATAATATGCCCCAACCTACTTTTTAAAATCTTATTTCTTAGTCCCCTCACAGATTTTCTCTACCCTATTCCACTGGTTTCTAAACAGGTTTTTTTTGAAGCCTCTTAGGCATTCCCTTGGAAAGGTAGGGGTCAAGTCACCAGATTTCTATCCTCAACCTTTAGGCTTTAATCTCTTTTGCATATTTTGGTTTCTTTAAAATAGGGCTCTATAACTAAAAGAGGTTTGAAAGTCACTCCATTTGTCTGGTCAGATGATTAGTCTCTATGTCTTTCAGTCTGTCTCTGCCTCTTTCTCCTGTACACATACTCCCTAGGGCCTTATACTTAAACATTTTCTTGTGGCTTTACTTTTCTGTGTAGTTCCTTCTGCCAGGAATGCTAATGTCTCCAGTTGATCATTCATATAGTGAGTTTTGCTGGTTAGCTGGAACAGTGTGACAGTTTTAAACATTTTATTTTTATTTCTAAAGAATTTCCAGTAAGCTGGGAATTAAGTGTTTCGCATGATCAAAACGTTTAGGGATTAATATATGTTTTGTTACCTTATGACATTGTATGAACGATGGAGAAAGACAGATTTTTACAAATGTTAGAAATGTAAAGTCTTGAATTGGGTCATAATTTTTTCAATGAAGGTGTGAAGTTTAAGTTTAGTGGGAGAGAGTGATTCAGCATACATATGGTTTTACTTGTAGGGTTTTTTGGTTTGTTTGTTTTGGGGTTTTGGTTTTGGTTTTGGTTTTTTAATAACATAAGCTGTATATGCAGCCAAGATAGATTACATTATACATATTATTTTTCTTCCATCTTTATCATCAAATACTGAGTTCTCTCACAGTGCTTTGATTCACACTAGAGATTTTTTTTTATTTATAATGCAGATAAGTAGTATGTTTTGTAATGATAGTTCTCATTTCTGGATACTTTTAAAGCTTCAGTTTTCATGTCTTAGTAATAGGATGTTAATTATGTGATATTATTTTATCTTTAACATTTTTCACTGTAGAATATTAATATGGAAATGTTGCTCAGCAGTCTGCAAAGGACTGTTGCTAGTGTAAAACATTAAGTCATTTCGCTTAGAAAATCTGTGGCTAGGGCCGGGCGCGGTGGCTCACGCCTGTAATCACAGCACTTTGGGAGGCCAATGTGGGCGGATCACGAGGTCAGGAGATCGAGACCATCCTGGCTAACACGGTGAAACCCCATCTCTACTAAAAATACAAAAAATTAGCCGAGTGTAGTGGCAGGCGCCTGTAGTCCCAGCTACTTGGGAGGCTGAGGCGACAGAATGGCATGAACCCGGAGGCGGAGCTTGCAGTGAGCCGAGATGGCGCCACTGCACTCCAGCCTGGGTGACAGAGCGAGACTCCGTCTCAAAAAAAAAAAAAAAAAAAAAAAAAAAAAAAAAAAAAAAGAAAATCTTTGGCAAAATCACTGGGGATGATTTTACCTCCCAGGATCATTTTGATAATGTCTGGAGACATTTTTGATTGTTACAACCTAGTGGCAGCTGGGGAGGCGGAGGAGGCACTACTGGCATTCAGTGGGTAGAGGCCAGAGTTGTTGCTAAACATCCTGCCACTAAATAAATGTTTTTGTGGCCCAAAATGTCAGTAGTACCAAGATTGAGAAACCCTGAGCCAATCTTCTACCATACCTAAAAAAAAAATTTTACTTAGAAATATTTTAATTTGTTTGTACAGGCATACTGATTTAGTCAGCCATTATCCTAATGATTCCTTTAAAAAAATTTTTGGAGTGGGAAAATAAAGACTTTTTCTACTTTAGAAAAGAGCAGATCTTTAAAAAAAATTGCTTTTCTTAAGGGTGTAATTGTGAAATAGCTTGCTTTCTTTTTCTCTTTCTCTTTCTTTTCTTTTTAGTTGGCTATCTGAATCATTGAGATGAACTGAAAATTAGATCTTAGCAAATAATTCTGCCAACAGTGGAACTCTAAGGCTCTGGTATCAGCTTAAGGCAGCCCAGCCTTACTTCAGAGTCCCCATCGAACAGATCGTTCACCTTGTTGGATGAATTGCTTCTCTCTCAGGATTAATTAAGAAAATGTTAATACTTTTCTTCCTCTTCTTGCTTCCTTGACCCCTAAACACAGTGTTAACAGCTTCTCTACCTGTACATCAACAATATATCAGTGTATACACCTTCTGAATCCTTCTATATCTTTCTCCATGCTTGTCCAAAGAACACATGCACAGTAGTTTTGGGGTCATTGTTTTTTTTACAGACTTCTCTGAGACATACCTTTTTCACTTTTACTATGTAAGTTTCCCTGGTTGATAGAGGGCTTGACTTTTTAATAGCTGTAATTATATTCTATAGAATAGACAGAGTGGATGTTCGGAATTTACTGAACTCTTCGCTTAGATATTCAACTGTTTTCTGTTTTTTAAAACCATTTTAAACAATATTGCAAATACATGTATACTTTTCTGCTGAATTTTTATTTACCAATAAAATTGGTTTAGTAATGTTTAGTACCAAGAAGGATTAATGAGGATAACCACAAATTATTTGAGCTTCAACTTTTTTTGAAAGTTGTATTTGACCAAAAGGTCCTTCCTCCACACAATTTTGAAGATAATGTAATTACTGCTCAACCTGACCTGGATAGTGTTATTTCCTTGTTTAAAGGGGGCAAGCAAATAGTTTTAGCTAAAATGACAATATAACAGAAAACCTGTAGTTCCACAGGATGAATAAAGACAGACTTAGAAATTATATTGGTAAATATGTTATTTTAAGAAATATTAGTTAAAATTTCAAAAGCAGATCATTCAAGGCAGCAACAGAACCCTTGTTAGTTGCTTTATTGATACAGGGATCCTAATACTGTCTGAAAACTTTTAACAAGGTGTCAAATTCAGAATATGCTTTTTATTGTTAGTAATGTCTATTTATCTGATGATTCATACTTAGTAAATGCATAAATATTGAGTAAATGTTTTAGATTCATTGATCTGCAAGGCAGATGGTATAAGAATAGCCTGGATACATGAATTCTAATCCTACTTGTGCTGTTGTTGACTAGTACCAATATGCCAAGTTTTCACCTCCTGAGAGTGCCTTTCCTTTCCTTATTGTAAAATTGATTGTTTCTAAAGTGTTTTGATTATAAAAATTTCTGATTTATTATCTTGCACATTGTTTTAAAGAAATGGATGATAAAATCATATACTTATTTAATATTGCATATTTCCATTTCCCTGGCTCAGTGCAGAGTAAATCAACAACATTGAAAAGCTAGTTGGGAATCGGAGATGATAGATAGCTTTTTCTAAGTTTTTAGGTCCTTAACCAATATTTGGTATGAGATTCGCTCAATGGTGTGTATGTGTGTGTGTGTGTGTGTATTTGTGTGTTAGAATTCATCAGACAAGAAAATTAATTTCTATTTTAGATATTTTACAAAGAATCACTTATTCCTAGGATTGTTCCCCAAGACATCTGAAATCTTAATTTGCATATCTATGTGGCAAAGCTTTAAATTTAAGTTATCCAGTAGTTTAACATAAAATCATACTGAAACACTCATTAACACATTTGAGTATACTATGTAAGTTCAGAATATAAATTACTTAGTACTGAGCCATGCTGCATTAAGTTAATCTTTATGTTGTTAGATTATTTTTATGTTAAGGAAACATTATCCCAGATTCGGTTTTTCTAGATACATAGAAAGGGACATACTGGATGTTTTTATTATGTTGAATGAAGCTGTGCATTGAAGCTATTATACTTAAGAAACATTTTTATGACAGTTTAGCTTTTTCAGCTGCTTTCATTATGTTGTGTTTTTTAGAAGTCTATTCAGGGTATTTTTAATGTCTTAACTAACAATATGATTTTTGAGCTATGTTTCTGTCGTGTTGTTTCTCATCACTATATGGATAGAATTAGTTATATAGTAACAATGCCTCTGTGCTCCTTTACCACCACAAAATACTTATTTTATTTTAATTCTTATTTATTAGTTGAATTATTTATTACATTAATTTAATTCTTATTTTCTTTGATGTTTTATGAAGCAGAGTTTATTTTCATAATTGTGTCTCATAATTCTGTACAATAATTGTTGGAGGAGTATGTTTAGTGAAAACAAATTAAAGGTGGAAGAGATACTATTCTTCCTCAGCATTGGTAATAATGAAGCTCAATTTCAAGTCATATACTTTTTTGTTATTTGGGTATTGAATATCAGTTTTTGTGAAACTAATATTGCAACCTATACAGTTGAAGAAAGAGATATTTCTGATGTAATCTTATAAATCAGGGTGTAGGAAAATAAAAACTTTATTTTGTAGATTAAAGCTCACCCTATGTTACATTAAATTTTAATAACATTGATATTCTGCTTGCTTTATGAAACCTTTTATTACAAACAGTTATGAATATGAACATCTCATTTGACTACTGATGAACAGAGGGAAAAATCTAAATTAAAACTTTAAATACCACTATTTAATTACCCAAATGGCTTTGACTGTGTTAAAGAGTGTCTGGGATTATTCTGTTTTTCAATTTGTTTTAATGCTTCCTTGGTAAAAGCTGATGGATTCCCAGGCCCATTGCTGTCACTGATGAACTATATAAAGATAAATGACATTATGGTAAATTCCACTTAATGACACATTTTTAATTTTCAGAACACAGACATTTTCAGGCTAGTGAATGAAGGCTAATTACCTCAAGATCAGAACAAAATAACTCCTCATTTCGAAAGATAATAGAAAAGAAATGTTGCAGATTAATGATGCTATTTATCTTTAAAGGAAAAAAATTTTATCTTTATCCAGATAGCATAGCTCCCTAAGGAGCGTGGTTATAAAATGAATCTGAAGTCGCAACTTAATAGGTTATTAAAATTGTGAGTGCAGGCTCTCCTGCTTTAGTCTTTCCATAAATTTAAATTGAAGGTCTGCTTTATTCAAAAAGGAGCAGCTTGTTTATGAGGCCAGTGGGAGCAGCACACGTTACTGACAAAAGATGCACTTAACTTCATTCTAATGTCTTGCTTCTTTATTTCTCTGAATGACTGTCACCTATTTGAAAAAGTATTTTGAAATTTTGTTACCACTCTTAATTGATACCTAAGTGGAAGGGCCATACTTAGACTTGTTTAAGATTAAAATAAAAATGAATGCTGTAAATAAAAGCTGTAAAGCCTTTACTGCACACATATAAATCAATTTGTAATTGATTTAATTGTGTGTGTATATTTTTAAACATTTTAATTTTGTTATATAAGAGGAAAATATCTTGGCCTATGAGGGGTTGATTTTGTGGTCACAGTTGGAATTTATGTAGGAATTGTTCAATAAATCATTATTCACAGTTAAAGGATTAGCAATAATCCTTTTGCTACACTCCCACACAACTAACAAAGTAGTGACTCAGAGAATATTACTTGATCATAGAGGCTTTAAACTGTTCCTGACATCCTAAACTCCTGTCTTTTGCTGTAGGTAATAGAACTGTTATTTCTTTACTAACGAGGTCATATAGCATTTTCTGTAATTTTCATTCTTGTCTCTTAGAAAGTACATGAATTGCCTGTATATGGTTCATATTTCTGAGCCACAGAAAAATGTTTGTGAGCATGAAAGGAAATAGTTGTTGCTTGCATCTGATAGAAATTTTATTATATTATTGTGAGACATTATTTTATTTATACCTTTCCAATTTTATTTGCTCTAAATGGTTAGAAAACATATGTTTATCTTGGCCATACGCGGTGGCTCACGCCTGTAATCCTAGCACTTTAGGAGGCCGAGGTGGGCGGATCACTTGAGGTCAGGTGATCGAGACCAGCCTGACCAACATGGTGAAACCCCATCTCTACTAAAAATACAAAATTAGCTGGGCATGGTGGCACACACCTGTATTCCCAGCTACTTGGGAGGCTGAGGCAGGAGAATTGCTTGAACCTGGGAGGCAGAGGTTGCAGTGAGCCAAGATCACACCATTGCACTCCAGCGTGGGCAACAAGAGAGAGACTCTGTCTCAAAAATAAATAAATAAATAAATAAAAAGTGTATCTTATAGGGAGAGCATTATCTCATTGCCCATGGCATAATGTTGACATAAAATTTTCTATTAAGACATTTCTTAGAACAGCCAGAAAACGGAAGTCTTTGTAATTTTAATTGTAGTATGCATTTGATTTTATGTTAACTGTTATGAAAGCCTCTTATTTTTAAAATGTTCTTAAGTAGTTTTGACTCTGTAGATTAAGGATAATTTCTAATAATAATTATTAAATTTGAAATAAGATATTCATATTTACTCAAAACTGTAGGAAAATACTATAAAATGCACTTTATCCTCTATCTCACTTTTCTTTTTATTTAAAATTTCAATAATATTCCTACAAGGCTCCCTTTATTCTTTATTTGCTACAGGTGTATCTATCTTACAGTGACTTAAGGAGAGAAGCTGATGAGAATTCTGAAGGTTATGTTTTATAGTTAGAATCCTTCAGTGAAAACACAGATGAATATTTTTTCTTAATACTAAAATAATGTGTTTATATAATTACCTTATTTCTAATTCTTAACAGTATCCGTGAAAATAAAAAGAAATGTTTCATGCATATGAGAGAAATTTCAGCAATTATTTGTATCTTCTAAATTCATTTTTAAATGTGGCAAGCACTGTGTCTATAAGCCTATATGTTATTTCACAATAATTTTTGGAAATTTTCTGTTTTAGTCTATGTGAGTCATGTAAAAATTATAAAAACTTTTAGGAACTCAAGCAGCCTTCAATCAGTGAAAGAACTGTTTAGCATGATAATACAAAAATAAAACCTATAGTATTTTGGCACCTTATAAAGCTCCCCTTTCGCCTCAAATTTGATTAAAGTGGATACTTAGAATGTATGCAGTACATGTTTTCCACATGGTTATTATCCTTCAGCTGAAAAAAAATCCGTGTGATTATTGTTAGAATAATATACACTAAAATGTTCTAGAGCATTAATAATATTGTGTCCATGCTCTTGTCTAATTTTTCCCAATTATTGCTATTTTAAATTTCCAACAGTATCTTGTACTTAATCTTCATATGTGAGGATGAGTTTATTCTAAAGACATTTACACACAACTTAGAGAAAATGTCAGAGATTGTCAGGGTTATATTTTAGAGTCAGAGGTAATCCTACTCTGGATATGAAGATAAATCATTTTTTAAAATGTGCCAGTTTTCTCTTCAGTAATGATGATCTTGAATGAATATTCTGTTTGGAAATTCTCTGCTTATGGCCTATCAGTAGTTATTCCTCTGGATATATACTTTGGAAATTCTATTTTAAAGCATGTCATTAATTCTTTAGACTTAATCATCTTCTAGTTCTTTTTGCTGGACTCTGATATTAAAATTTAGCAGTAGCCTATGAAAAATCGTATGGAAAAGAGACAAATTTAGGGCCATTAAATTCCTAATTATGGTTTCATAACAAGGATCACGAGCTATTTACTGTTTACCTCCGTGACAGTTCTGGAATTTTGTTTTGATTGTCAAGTAGCAGATAGATCTAAGTATAAAGATTCTTGAAAGGGCAAAAAAAAAATCTTTGTGGATTCAAATCCTCAAATCCAACTACAATTAAATAATAAGGCCTTATCAGAAGTTATGAAGCATAATAAAGTGCTTTGTCTTTCCACTTGATTCCTTACTGACTCCCCAAGTTAACTATTATGGGTTCATGGTTAAGGCACACAATCAGGAGTGAAGTTCTAAGTTTTAATTTTAGCACTGGCTCAAGTTTTCATAATGTATATAAATTCATTCCCCCCTGTGTTTATTTTCTTACCTGTAAAACTTAGGGGTTTAAATGCATTCAAATTGTGTCCTGGGCCAGGCGTGGTGGCTCACGCCTGTAATCCCCCAGTGCTTTGGGAGGCCAAGGCTGACAGATAACTTGAGGTCAGGAGTTCGAGACCAGCTTGGCCAACATGGTGAAACCCTGTCTCTACTAAAAATACAAAAATTAGCTGGGCGTGGTGGCGCGCACTTGTAGTCCCAGCTACTCAGGAGGCTGAAGCAGGAGAATCGCTTGAACCTGGGAGATAGAGGTTGCAGTGAGCCGAGATTGCGCCACTGCACTCCAGCCTGGGTGACGGAGCGAGACTCCTCCAAAAATAAAAATAAAACGAATTGTATCCTGCAGAGCTTTAGAGATGGGAAAGAAGGTGTTAGAGAGGGGAACGTCTAGTGGGCAGCTCTGTAACTCTGCAGTCTTTTTTCTCCTTCCCTGCTTAACTAGAGCAACATTTTTTTTTTTTTTTTTTTTTGAGATTGGGATTCTCACTTGAGCCAGAGAGGCGGAGGTTGCAGTGAGCCAAGATTGCACCACTGTGCTCCAGCCTGGTGACAGAGCAAGATTCCATCCCCCCTAAAAAAGAAAAAAGATTGGGATTCTGCTTAAGGTTTGAGAAAAATGTTCTTTAAAAATGAAAACTAAAAACAAACAGAAAACAAAAGTTTTAAAACCACTTCCAGAATGGGCCAGGAATTGTCAAACTCTGGCCCACAGGCCACATCTGGCCCAATGCCCAATTTTTTGTAATGAATGTTTCTTTGGACAAAGCCACGCTCATTCATGTACATATTGTCCATTATGCAGCAGAGTTAGTAGTTGTGACAGAGACTATATGACAAGCAGAGGTCAAAATATTTATCTAGCACTTTGCCAAAAAAGTTTGCTAACTCCTGCACTAGGTACTCGCTCACTAATTTTATACCTGAAAATTAATTCCTTGAGATGGCTTAACTTCTGCTATATGCACTTCTCCTTCTTAGACTGCACACTAATTCATGGCTAATTCTTTTTGTTTTAATGCATTATTAAGGATTAATCTTCAGGGATTATGTTTAACCATTTAGCCTCTGTATTTCCTGGCACTCTTTTAAGAATTATTTTGTGCTTATTATTTTTCCTAAGGGATATAAAAATAAATATTGAATAGGAAATGGTTCATAGCCCATAGCCAGTTGGATTGGTAAAATTAATGCATCTGAAATGATTATAGGACATTTTAAGATATAATGTGGTATATTTAGAATCATGTGAGTCCAAAAGTTTAAATTGTGTAAGTCTAAAAGTAAGTTTAGGAGGAGTTCAGAGAAAATCAGTGTGGCTGGAATAGTCTATTTAGCTTTTCTTATTTTATTTTTTGATGAAATGTAACTTGAACTGGTCTCTGAAGACTAGGCAGAATTTGAATAGATATCAAGGACGTCAGGACATTCCTTGGGTGAGGAAGGTTTAGTGAAGGGTGGTGAAGGTTATTGAGTCCATGGGAGAAGTGAAAATGAGGTGTGGTATTAATAAGGAAAGAAAGGGTTGATTACCAGATGAAAGAGTTTGATGTGGAAAATACTTGTAAATCACTTTATGTTTCTGAGTAAGGAAGTAATGAAACATACGTACAAGTAATCAGTAAGACTTGTTAGACAGCTGTTGTTCAGTACTATGCTCAGTGTTTGAGAAGCTATGTAGGATATATATTGTGATCATGTGTTTTCAGGGATCTTATATTCTGATTAGACTGTTAAGATTGGTGGTCAGTCAAAATGGAAGGGCATCGGCCAGGCGTGGTGGCTCATGCCTGTAATCCCAGCACTTTGGGAGGCCGAGGCGGGCAGATTACTTGAGGTCAGGAGTTCTAGACCAGCCTGGCCAACATGGTGAAACCCCATCTCTACCAAAAATATAAAAAATTAGCCAGGTATGGTGGTGCATGTCTGTAATCCCAGCTACTTGGGAGGCTGAGGCAGGAGAATAACCTGAACCCGGGAGGCGAAAGTTGCAGTGAGCTGAGATCGTGCCACTGCGCTTCAGCCTGGGTGACAGAATAAGACTCCGTCTCAAAAAGTAAAAAGGAAGGGCATCACATGATATTGCCAAATGTGAGTGATTGATAGATAGTACTGTGGGAGTTTGAAAGAGCGAGAAATTACTGAGAGCTGTTGGAATCATGAAAAATTTCTTGTAGGGCTAGCATTTTTGCTGGGCCTTGAGGGATAAGGAAGACTCGTGAAGGTATAGTTTATATAAGCAGACAGAAGGGTATTGTGGGCAGGGATAATGAAGTGAGCAAAGGTATGGAGATAAAACATTGTTTTATATGAAGAACAATGAGGAGAGAAGTCTGATTTGTTCAAAATTGATTGAAAGATACAGTGATAAAGCTCAAAAGTAAGGAATTCTGGGGGCAATTTTGTGAAGACCGAATGCAAGTTGGCTAAGTGGGATTTCTTTGTTCTCTTGAACTTTTCCAAAATTTTTTCCCCACACAAGTAGTAGAGTTGTCTCTTCAAGCAGAATGTTGCTAAATAACCTCCATGTGTAAAAGAGACAAACGCGGCGTTGCCTTAATCAACTTGGGTTGAAGAATGTGGAGCTTACCAGGTTCCACCAGTGTAGCCACAGAGGCACATCAGTAGCACCCTTATTGCCCTGAGGAACAGTTTGAAGAATTTTGCACTAAGCCTTAAGAAGCTGTTAAAAGTTTTAGGGCAGGCCTAGAGAAATACTGGTAACATGATTAATCCACTGGTATGCAGGATAGAGTGGGAGGAAACATGGGATAAGAAAACGATTATAGTATTAGAGATTTAAGGACCTGAGTAAGGATGGTGTTAGTAAGAATAGAAAAGGAGAAAGAAGAATGGCCTTTCAAAGGGAAAGATCCATAATGTAGCAGCTATTATAAATGACATCACCATGGTTAAATATTTGAATAAACAATGGCTATGGATAATCATGTAGAACACTGGAAATAGAGAAAATATTAATAGCAAAGAATATTTAAGGCAAGGATAGTATGTAGAGACAAAGTGTGGAACATTTTAAGGCAGGAATAGTCAATATTGAATTCCACAGAGACTATGGAATCTAATTTTGATTTGAGGCATTGGTTGGTGAGTGCACAGTTTCTAAATATACAATAATATGGTTTCTCTGAATTGAGCATGATAGTAACTAGATTAAGATGAGTAAGATTTGAATAGAGAAAGTAAACTCAAGAAAAAGTCAAAGAAAAAAATGATGGCTCTGTTGATTAAATACAGGGAATGAATGGGAGGAACATGAAATACGAGTACTAAAAATGATCTTAGTGGATTTTTTAAAAAGTTTTTTTTTGTAAACTAAAGGTATGGAAACTAGTGGAGTATGTAAATGTGAAACCAGTAGTTATTCATTTACTCAAATATGTTGTGTTTGCTCTGTGTAAGGCATTGTGCTAGGTTCTATAAAAGATTCATAAAGATTCATTTTCAATAGCAAAAAAAACAGAACCTTGGAATAAACTTAACAGGAAATGTGTGGAGTTTATGAAAAATACTATAAAAATGAACAGAGGGATAGTAAGGGAGAGTTGATCAGATGGAAGAGCATACATTTTAAGTGGATGAAGAGACATTATTGAGATGCCAGCTTTCCACAAAATAATCGATAACCTTGGGGGATTGTTTTATGGCTTGACATAATGATCTTAATATTTGTCTGAAAAATTACTGGGAGATTGGCATAGAAAATTAAAAAAAAAAACAAATGGTGACGTGTCCTGCCAGATATTAAATTTGATGATAAGCTTATAACAGTTAAGATAACATAGAACAGGCCAAGGGATAAACAGACCAGAATAACAGAGTGTGTGTGTGTGTGTGTGTGTGTGTGTGTGTGTGTGTGTGTGTGTGTGTTTTCAAGTATAAAGAAGAGTGTAGTACATTATACAGGTGAGATTTTTAATTTGGGGAAAGGATGGATTAGTTAGTAAGTGATATTGGAGAAAAGTTACATTTCTGCTCCATACTATACATCAAAATAAATTCTAGATAATTTAAAATTTGCTATTAATATTAAATGAAACTATAAAGTACTAGAAGGAAATGTGAGTGAATTATTTTATATTTCAAGAGGACTTCCTAAGTATGACATAAAAAGTTAGAAACTATAGTTACCAATATGACAAGAATGTTCAAGAAACTGGTAGGACTTAACTACATCTGCATGAACACCTTTTGAATGTGAACAATCATTAAAAACAAAATTGAGAGGAAACAGCAAAAAACCCACAAACTATGTGATTAATAAAAGGGCTTTTAGTCTAATTGTATAAAGTACCCTTAATCTAATTACATAAAATAGTCTAAGAAACCAGTAAAGAAACGCTCTAGTGGGGAATGTGGGCCAAGCATAAGAATTAGTGGTTCCTAGAAGAAGGAACATAAGGAAAATGTTTACCATCACTACTAATAAAAATCTAAGTGCCATTTAAATCTGTTAAGATGGCAGATCATGATAAAATGAGCATTCGTATACATATATATATGTGTGTATGTATGTATGTATATGGCTATGAGTTTTAGTGACTTTCTTGCTGAAAGGCAATTGGGCCATAGTTACCAAAAGTCTTAAATGTGGCTACTGTGGGCACACTGCCTATGAGGTAGCCCTGCTACGCAAGGAACAGTTTAAAAAAAAAAGTCTTAAATGTAATAGATACTTGTATTTGAATGTTTACAGTAGGATTATTCACAATATCCAAAAGGTGGAAACAACCCGTGTCTATTAAAAGATGCATAGAAAACCATAATGTGGTATCTACATACAACTGAATGTTACTCAGCCATTAAATGTAATGAAAATCTAATACATGGTACAACATGGATGAACCTTGAAAACTTTGTGTTAAGTGCAGTAAGCCTGACATAAAGGGACAAATTTTGTATGAGCTCACATAAATGAAATATCTTGAATAGGCAGATTAATAGGTAAAGAAATATATGAAAGGTTACTGGGGGTTGGGTGGGAGAAAGAAGTTGGGGGAGGTTACTTAAAGGGTAGTTTCTCCTTGGTGGTGATAAAAGTGTTTTGAAAATAGTAACAATGGTTGCACAACATTGTGAGTATAATTAATGATACTGAGTTGTACATTTTAAAACGGTTAAGATGACAAATCTTACGTTTTATATATTTTACCACAGTAAAAGAGAAAAATGACAAAAAATAATGTCACGTTTCACTTACAGGAATTTGTTCTAAGGAATAATAGAGTGTATGTAAGGTCTTTACTACAGAGTTGGAAACAACCCAGATGTTTAATAGTAATGAATTGTTTGCTGTGGTATAGTCTATAACCATTGACAGTGACTGAACAAATATTTAATAGAATATTATGATTTAACAAGTGAAAATATAGGTAGTAAAACAGCATGCACCCATTTTTCATTTAAAAAAATTTATGCCTAAAAAAGACAATGTTCTATTAAAAATTGAAGTGGTCTTCTTTGGGTGATAGGATTACAGAGGTTTATCAAATGCTTGTTTATACCCTGAAAATGTAAAACTTAGGTTCTGGTTCTTTTTTATTTTTATTCTTTTAAGGTAAAAGGAGATTTTTGTCTTTAAATATTAATAAAGGGGTCACAAACAGTATATTAATTTTTTAAAAGGAAAAAACTTTTTATAATTGATTATACCGCTTGCGAGAGTTTGAGATACTCTTAAGAATTCAGGTTAAACTTACAAAATCATTTTTAATACAGAGATCAATGAAAAATTATCCAAAGACATTAGCTCCATGTACTGGTAATTGTTACCAAAAGCCTTAAAGTGTACAATTTTTTAAAATCAGTGTGGCAACTATCCCAGGAATTGGAAGTCTGTGTTTCTTCCCCTAAGATTCAGGTCATGTGTGTATATGTGTGTATTTTAATTTTTAAAGAACATAGGAGTAATGTAGACTCCTACTTCTAGCCATGACAGAGTCCCAGGGACTGAATTTACACTCCTGCTTCAAACTAGAAAAGCAGTCTACAAAATAAAATAATTGTTTATAGACATTGGATAATAACCAGTATAGGACACTAATCTTAGAAGGGAAATAAAGTGACTTCTGTAGCTCTTCCCACCTTATTGCCTAGAGACAGTTTTGGTACAGGGAAGGCAGACATACTGAGATCTTGGGCAGGTGGCATCACACTACATTGAAGAGATAGATTTTGAAGTACAAGGAGGCCAAGGTGTCTAGAATTTGTGGATAAAATTACTAGAGAGTAGTGAGATGCATCAGGACAGAAGTGATGAGATCCACAAATCTCCACAAAACTCAATGAACCTCTTGAGAGTCTGAGCGAATACTCATCTGTGCATGTGTGACAAGAAATTACCCAAGGCTGAAGAAAGAATAACTGGAAAGGAGCAGGTGTAGCGATCCGTGGAGCTCATGCGAAACATTTACACCTATACATTTCTCTCTTAGCAGGGCTTTCACTGCATTCCATGTTTTGGCAGTAAAGCTGAAGAACATTTAAGCCAGACCAATCAGGAATTCAGAGAAAGAATAATTCATTTTATCCCTGGATTATTATTGAATTATTTTATTCCTATTGTGAATAATTCTATAAACATTCAAGTACAGAATTGAAGACCAATCAGGAATAAAATGAAAGAAGACATAAATTACCATCATTAGTAATGCAAGGAGGAACATCACACAGATCCTAAATTTTATGGAAAATCAATAAATTCAATAACTTAGATGAAATGGACAAATTCCTTGAAAGTTAAAATTAAGAAGAAATAGATAACCTAAATGGTCTTATTAAAGAAGGTGAATTGTTAGATTAAAATCTTCCAGTAGAGAAACATCCAAGTCCAGATAGCATTAGTAGTATATTATATCACACTTTAAAGAAGGAATAATACCAATTCTTTACAAACTCTTCCAGAATATATAAGGTAACACTTCCAAACTAATTTTATAAGATTTGTATTACTATTACACAAAACCCAGGCAAGATACTACCAGAAAGCTACAGATCTAGATCCTTCATGAATATAGACACAAAAAATTATTAACAAAATATTAGGAAATGAATTATGTAATATATTAAAAGATTAATATGTCATGATCAAGTGAAGTTCATTCTAGGAAGAAAGGTTGGTTTAACGTGAAAATTAAGCAACATTATTTACTGTATTAACAGACTAACAGGAAAAAAATGTTTTCCTCAATAGATGCAGATAAAGCATTTTACAAAGTTTATCACCTGTTCATGATAGATTAAAACAATAAACAAAAGTCTTGCAAACTAGGAGTACAAGGGGCACTTTCTTAATCCAATTCAAGGACCTTTTAAAAAACCTGCAACTAGTGACTGAATGCTCTCACTTTAAAACTGGGAAGAAGACAAGACAGTCCCTTCTCAGATACATTTCTACATTGTACTGGAAGTCAATTGTCTGGAAGTCATTGTACTGCCAGTGCAATAAGGCAATAAAAAGAAGCTGAAGGCAGACGAAATGGAAAGAAAAATATTAAATCATCTTTAGTTGCAGTTGACATAAAAATCTAGTTAGAAAATTGGAGAGAATCTCAAATAAGCTACTGGCACTAATAAGTTTAGCAAAATTTTTTGTAAGAAACAAGGTCAGTATTCAACAACTAATTATATTTCTGTATACTAGCAACAAACAATTGGAACTTGAATTTTTAAATATGCCATTTTCACAGTATCAAAAAATGTGAAATATTAATAGTAATCATAGCAAAAATGTATAACACTTTTGCAGTGAACACTATAAGGCAATGCAGAGAAAAAGAATCTAAATAAATGGAGAGTTATATCATGTTCATGGATGAGACTTTATATTTTTAAGGTTGCAATTTTTTCCAGATGTATCTATTTATTCAGTGCAATATCAGTCAAAATTCCAGCAGGCTTTAAAAAAAACTTAAGTTGAATTTTCTAAATTGATTATAAAATGTATTTGCAAATGCAAAAGGATCTAGAATACAATGATTAAAACCGCAGGATAGTATTGTGAAGATTAGTATGTAGATGTATGGGACAGAAAAGAATCTAGTAGATTTACATAAAGATACCAAACATTTCAGTTGGGAAAGGACAAGCTTTTCAGCAAATTGGTGCTGGACCAGTCTATAGCCATATGCCAAAAATGAACCATATCTCTTCCATCACACAACATACAGTAATTAACTTGGGACATACTACAGATTTAAATGTAAGAATTATATGAAAATTCTAAAAGAAAACAGGATATTGGCTAGGCACGGTGGCTCATGCCTGTAATCCCAGCACTTTGAGACACCGAGGCGGGTGGATCACGAGCTCAGGAGATCGAGACCATTCTGGCTAACAAGGTGAAACCCTGTCTCTACTAAAAATCCAAAAATTAGCTGGGCTTGGGTGGTGGGCGCCTGTAGTCCCAGCTACTCATGAGGCTGAGGCAGGAGAATGGCGTGAACCTGGGGGCGGAGCTTGCAGTGAGCCGAGATTGCGGCACTGCACTCCAGCCTGGGCGACAGAGCGAGACTCCGTCTCAAAAAAAAAAAAAAAAAACCAGGATATCTGAATACCTTGGGTTATATATTTTAATATTTGATACAAAAGGCACAAGCTATAAAAAGAAAAATATAAAATTTGGACTTAATCAAAATTTAAAATATGTAGACTTCAAAGGATACTTTAATAAGCTGAAAATGCAAGCCACAGACCTGGAAAAAATATTTGCGAAGGATTTATGTCTAGAATATGCAAAGAACTCTTACAACTCAATAATAATGAGATGAACAATCCAAGTAAACATGGGCAAAAGATTTATAGATATACTAAAGGAGATATACAAATGGCAAATATAAGCTAATGAAAAGATCAAAATCATTAGTTATTAGGAAAATGAAACTTAAAACCACAATGAGATACTGCTCTTGTCCACTAGAATAGGTCATAATTGAAAAGATCAACCATTTCAAATATATGGAGAATGTCAAGTAACAAGAACTTGTATACATTGATAGTCATAATGAAGAATTACACAGACTGGAAGAGTCTTTTCTAAATATATACCTTACCATCCAACCCAGGAGTTCCATTCCCAGGTATTTACCCAAGAGAACTGAAAACATGTCCACAAAGTGACTTGAACCTGTATATTCCTACTAGCTGTATTTATAATTGCATAAAAACTTGAAATAACCTGAATGTTCGTCACCTAGTAAACTGATAAGCAAATGTTGATTTATCAATTTAAAGGAACAAATTACTGATGCATTCCACAACATGGAGGAGTCTCTAATTCCTTTTTCTTTCTTTTTCTCTTTTCTTTTCTTTTTTTTGAGACAGTCTTGCTCTGTTGCCCAGGCTGAGTGCAGTGGGGCACGACACAGCTCACTCTGCCTCCCAGGTTCAAGAGATTCTTGTGCCTCAGCCTCCTGAGTATCTGGGATTACTGGTGCACACCACCACACCCAGCTAAATTTTTGGAATTTTAGTAGAGACAGGGTTTTGCCATGTTAGCCAAGCTAGTCTCAAATTCCTGGCCTCAAGTGATCCACCTGCGTCGGACTCTCAAAGTGCTGGGATTACAGGCATGAACCACAGTGCCCGGCCTCTAATTCTTTATACTAAGTTATTGAAGTCAGATACAGTGGACTATGTACTGTATTAATCTTTTCCTATGACTATTCTATAAACGACAAAACTAATGACAAATCAGATCAGTGGTTACCAGGTTTAAATGGAAGAAATTTTATTATGAAAAAGCATGAAGGAACCCTTTGGAGGCATGAAAATGTTCTGTACCTTAATTGTGTAGATATTACATTATAAATTACTTTATGCATTTGATTTTTCAAAATTTATTGTAAAGTTCTGTAAATTATAAAGGTGATTTTATTTATTTATTTTTTTTTTTGAGACAGGGTCTCACTCTGTCACCTAGGCTGGAGTGCAGTGGCACAGTCGTGGCTAACTGCAGCCTCGAACTCCTAGGCTCAAGTAGTTCTCCCACCTCAGCCTCCTGAGGCAAGCAACACCATGCCTAGCTAATTTATTTTTATTCTTGTTTTTATCTGTAGAGACAGCATTTCAGTTTTGCCCAGACTGGTCTTAAACTCAAGTGATCCTCCTGCCATGCCTTCCCAAAGTGCTGTGATTACTGGTGTGAGCCCCTGTTTCTGGCCTGATTTTTAAAATCTGATGAGAAAATATATTGATATAAGAAAATATGAATTTTTATATGAATATAAACATGAATGCTTATATGAATATATTCATATAAGAAAATATATTTCTGCATACTTCTACCCAATCACGATAGTTCAATTATAATATGTGAAAAAGAGGGAACTTTTTTTTTTTTTTTTTTGAGACAGAGTCTCACTCTGTCGCCTGGGCTAAAGTGCAGTGGCGCAATCTCAGCTCACTGCAACCTCTGCCTCCCAGGTTCAAGCAGTTCTCCTGCCTCAGCCTCTCGAGTAGCTGGGACTATAGGCGCCTGCCACCATGCCCGGCTAATTTTTTGTATTTTAGTAGAGAAAGGGTTTCACCGTGTTGCCAGGCTGGTCTCGAACTCCTGAGCTCAAGCAATCTGCCCTCCTTGGCCTCCCAAAGTGTTAGGATTACAGGTGTGAGCCATCGCGCCCAGCATGTATTTTAATATATTACATTGATAATTTAATATTACATTGATTAATGGCTCACAGCTTCTTTGTATAAATGGCTCAAAAAGCCAACAACAGGGGAGTAGTTAATTCAGGTACATTCAAACAATAAAATGCTATATAAGAATTAAACATCAACATTTTTCTATGAATAAAATGGGCAACTTTTTACAGTATAGTCATATGTCACTTACTGACAGGGATACATTCCAAGAAATGTGTAGTTAGGTGATTTTATCATTGTGTGAACATCATGGAGTATACTTAAATCTAGATGGCATAGCCTCATGCACACCTAGGCCATATGATATCCTATTGCTCCTAGGGTATGAACTTGTACGGCATGTTATTGTACTAAATACTGTAGGAACTTGTAACACAGTGGTAAATATTTGTGTATCTAAACATAGAAAAAGTGCAGTAAAAAATATGGCATAAAAGATAAAAGTGGTATACTTGTATAGAGCACTTACTATGAATGGAGCTTTTAGAACCAGAAGTTGCTCTGGTCAGGCAGTGAGTAAGTGTTGAGTAAATGTGAAAATTTACATTACTGTAAATTTTATAAGCACTGTACACTTAGGCTACACTAAATTTATTAACTTTTTTCTTTAATAATAGATTAAACTATGCCAGTTACAACATTTGTATCAACTTTTTACTTTTTAAACTTTTTGATTCCTATAATACTCAGCATAAAATACACTTTGTGTAGCTATGCAAAAATAATTTGTTTGTATCCTTATTCTATAAGCTTTTTTCTAAAGATTTTTAATTTAGTTGTTTGTTTGCTTTTTAAACATTTTTGTTAAAACCTCATACACAGAAGCACACATTAGCCTAGGCCTAATAGGATCAGGATCGTTAATATCGCTGTCTTCCACCTCCAAATCTTGTCCTCTGGAAGGTCTTCAGGGACAAAAACACACACAGAACAGTCATCTCCTGTGGTAAAAATGACTTCTGGAATTCCTCTGAGGGACCTGTTTTACTGTTAACTTTTTTAAAAAGTAAGTAGAAGGAGTACACATTAAAATAACAATAAAAAGTATAGTAAATAAATAAACCAGAAACAGTCGTTTATTATCAAGTATTATGTACTGTGCATAATTGTATTGCTAGACTTTTAATGACTGGCAGTGCGGTAGGTTTGTTTACACAAACATGACCCCAAACCTGTGAGTAATGCATTGTTAAAACATAACAGTGACTACACCATCACTAGGTGATAGGAATTTTATGGGACAGCTGCCATATACTTGTTTTGTTATTGACATGGTGTGTGATCATATATTGAATTGGGAAGAAAGGACATAACAGCAAGATCTCACTTTTGTTGGGAAAAAATGTGGGATGGGGCATTATTTTATGAATGTATATATAGAAAAGATATTAAATATCAAGTGTTTATTGGAGTTAGGTTGGTAGCAGCTTTTCTTTTTTTAAAATAATAAAATATATTTTGAATTTTCTACTCAATATTTTTTCTCTCCATTGGAATATAAGCACCATGAGAATAGGAATTTTTGTTTCTCCTCTGTTGCGATATTGCAGATCCTAGAACAGTATTCCATAAATATGTGTATAATGAATTAATTTTTTTATCTAGCTGGACCTCAGACTAGATTTTTTTTCATTGATTTGTTTTTGTTTTAATTACATAGTTGTGATTACTGGAACTTTATGGTTCTATGTGGTGGAATAAGTTCTCTTTGTTAGTCATATTTAAATTACTCTAGACTTTTTTTTACACCACTTACAAACGTCCTTTTGGGTTTTTTTGTTTTGTTTGTTTGTTTGGTTTTTGAGACAGCCTCACTAGGACACCCGGGCTGGATTGCAGTGGTGTGATCTCTCTCGGCTCACTGCAATCATTTGAATCTCTCCAGGGTTCAAGCAATTCTCCTGCGTCAGCCTCCCCAGCAGTTGGGACTACAGGGTGTGCACCACCATACCCCACTAATTTTTTCTATTTTTAGTAGAGACAGGGTTTTGCCATGTTGGCCAGGCTGGTCTTGAACTCCTGACCTCAAGTGATCCACCCGCCTCAGCCTCCCAAAGTATTGAGATTACAGGCATGAGCCACCGCGCCTGGCCATAAACGTCTTTGGGGCTTTAATTGGAATTGCACTAGTTACGTATATTAATTTGGCATCTTTCAATTAGAAGTTTAAGACATTAGAATGAATTATTTAGATATTCCATATCTTTCAGTAAACTTCATGGCTTTTTAAATATCAGCTGGCGTATTACTTATTAAATATATTTCTAGATGTTTTAATTTTGTTGGTGTTGCTATCGAGATCTGATATACTTTGTGTTTTATATTTGTTCCTGGTTAATAGGTAAGCTGTTGTTTTGTATATTTTTTTATTAAGCCACCTTCCTGAAAATTATACATAGTATTTAAAAAATTTATAACTCAACATTAAGTTGATTAATGAAAACCAAACCTTTATACCTTAAACGATACATAATTTTGTGGTAGAGGAAGTGGCTGTTTTTCTCCATTTTTTTTCACCCTAATTGTTGAAAGCTTCCTATCACAATGGTCAAGTATTTATCATTTAAAACTGAGCAGACTCTCAATACTTTGGGGGCACATTTCACCTACCCCAAGGCATTAGGCAGAAATGCTGAGGAAGCTGGAAGACTTAGTACTCTGTTCTTTGGTCAGCAAGTGATAGTTGACCTATAATTAATTAATAGAAGAAGGAAGTACTCTCAGTGTTTTGGGTCTTTTATCAAACAGGTATGTTATTCTTAGGATCTTTTCACTGTTACTCCCTTTCTGCTATTCTAAAATATAATCCTGGAGTCTCTTCTTTTTGTTGCTGGTTGTCACATTTCTGCAAACAGCAATGTATTGTGTTAATAGTTATTTCATTACAGACATTTCTGCGTTTTGGTTTACATGTGTTCTTGCCTTATTTTTCTTAAATTATTTAAAGGAGAGGAGTATGTTTTGTGCAGAATTGTGTTGATCAGACGTGTACTAAGCAGTTACTGTGTACAGTGCAGCAGTGAAAGGGAATGATAATACTGAGCACTTATGTGCCAGTTCTGAACAGTATCGATGCGGAAACCAAGAATCTGAAAGAATAGGTGTCTTGTCAAAATTTAGGAAGCTATGGAATGTCCATTTGATTCTAAATTCTATAGTCTTAAGCCCTGGCTACACATTAGAATCATCTGGAATATTTAACAAATCTCATAGTTTTATTGTACTCCCCCTCACCCTCACCTTTCATCTAGCCAGGAAATTGATTTCTACAGATAGGGCCTAAGCATCTGGGTGTGTGGGAGAGACATATAATTTTTTAAAGCTGTTACATGATTCTAATTTGCTGCCTTGGTGAAGAACAGGAGTCAGCAAACTATGCCCCATAGGCCAAATCCAACCAATCTCCTGTTTTTGTACTGCCTTGGAGCTAAGAAGGGCTTTAACTTTTTTAAATGACTGGGAAAAAAATCATGACATGAAAATTCTATGAAATTCAAATTTCACTGTCTGTAAATCAAGTTTCGTTGCAACCAAAGCCTTTGGTAAATTTTTGTTGACATGTCAAGAAATAATTGTTGAGCAACTTTTTCATCACATACACATAAAGAGATAAAGAAATATTTGGGCTCAGTCCCTTCAAATTGCAAATCATTTCTTCCCTTTCTGTTTGTTCTTTCGATGAAAGTGTAAATATATTTTTTTATAACTCTTAATATTGGAGAGGAGAAATTGCTAGGCCTAATTCAGTAATCATTTGAACATGTAAGGTCCTAGGGGTTTGTGTCTTCGTGTTTTATATTGACCAATATTAATTCACATGAGACAGTATTCCCAGGTTGGTGGTGTTGGCTTAAGGGTTTAAAGTAACATCGCCATTCTATTTCATTTCCAAATCAAATGTTAATGGATTCCTATAGGTAAGGTATCCCAAGGAAATACTTATTTTCAAAGTACAGATGCTCCTTAACTTACAGTGAGGTTATATTTCTAAAAGCCCATTGCATGTAGAAAATATTTTAAGTCAAAAATTTATTTAATAAGCCATACCCACCAGACATTATAGCTTAGCCTAGCATATCTTAAGCTTGTTCTTGTTTTTATTTGTATTATTTTATTTTAGTCTTAACTTGTAAGGATAGGAATTAAAATAATACCAAATGCTGTCATTTTCCTCAGCAAATTTTAGGCATATGACCTGGGAAATTGTGAACTACTTTCTCTTTTGGCTTTTGGACTTCCTGTTGGGTTTTGGGTATAATATGCTTATAAAGATAGATTTTTATTAATTGTGATTGGACTTCTTACTGAGAGCACTTTCTGAAAATGTTAATTTTCTTAATTGCATACCAGTGTTAAATAATGAGATCACAACTATTTTTGAACAATTAGAGGTTATGTTCTCTTTAAGAACTGATTCTGTAGTCTCTATCCATAAATCTTTCCTCACCTTGTTTAGTGGTAAGGTCAAGTAACCATTAAGTAGACTGAAATATCCCCAGATCAGGCATTCATTCACCATCTTTTAGTATTGCAGTGGAGCCACAGAATTACTAGGAATGGCAGAGAATGGCACTACATGAAGGAATGACAGGAGACTGACAGGGTCAAGAGAAAATGATGGAGGGTTTTAGAAACCCAAACCAAAGGAAAGAAAGAAAAAAGAAGGTAAGGAAGTGGGGATTAGAGGGTGTTTTTTGGTGGTTGTTTTTGTTTTGTTTTGAGACGGAGTCTTACTGTGTCTCCCAGGCTGGAGTGCAGTGGCACGATCTCGGCTCACTGCAACTTACACCTCATGGGATCAAGCGATTCTCCTGCCGCAGCCTCCTGAGTAGCTGGGACTACAGGCGCCTGCCACCACGCCCGGCTAATATTTGTATTTTTAGTAGAGACAGGGTTTCACTATGTTGGCCAGGGTTTCACTATGTTGGCCAGGCTTGAACTCCTGACCTCAGGTGATCCACCCGCCTTGGCCTCCCAGAGTGCTAGAATTACAGGCATCAGCCACCACGCCCGGCCAGGATAGGGATTTATTGACTCACTTAGGCATTTATCTGTTCTCAGCATAGCTGGATCATTCTAGATCTATTCTAGAGGTCCAAGCATTAACACTAGCTCATCCTGTTTCTCAGATCTATTGTTCTCTGTGCTGACTGGCTTCATTCGTAGGCCTTCTGTAGTAAGAGGAAAATGGCTTTGGGTACTTTTGACTTCCATGTCCTTAACACCTATGTCTCAGACAGAGATAGTATCTTTTTTGATAATTCTGGTTAAAGCACAAGAAGTTCTTTCATTGGTTCAGCTTGGATTATTCCTGGTCCAATCAGTGGGGTCTGATGTTTGGATTGGATGGGTGTGAATGGTGTACCCACCTCCCTAATGGGGATGCAGTGAAGTATAGGGTGGTTAACCATCCCTTATCACCATCCATACCCTATGGATAGATTTTCTGATAAGAAACACAGAAGAAAGGAAATGATGCTAAAGAGAGTAAATAGTTAACTGTTAAAAGACCAAAACCTAGTACTTGTGTCATCTAATAGAGAATCCTATGTACATTGTACACTTCCTTTTTTTTAGAAAAATTAAAATAATTTTAAATAGTCTTTGTGAAAGCTTCAAAGATTCTTCCAGGCCTTATGTGTTTGTCCTTTCAGCTTTTCATTATAACTTTATGAAAATATTTTAGCCACTCTTTTAACAATTTATTGAATGTCTGCTATGTCGTTTTACCTGCAGTGTCATTTAATCTTTTCTCAAGTTGATAATTTAAAAAATAACTTTCTAAGTTTTATTTTTATTTGATTATGTACAATATATTCAATTCATATTTGTGGGGTACAGTATGATGTTTCAATACATGTATACACTGTATAATGATCAAATCAGGGTAGTAGTGTATCCATCACCTCAAACATTTATCATTTCTTTCTGGCAAGTACATTCAAAATGTTACATTCAAAATCCTCTTTTCTGGTTATTGTGAAAAATATACAATGTAGTATTATTGTTAATTGTAATCACTGTACTTGTACTGTGCAACAGAAAACTAGAACTTATTCCTCCTATCCATCTGTTCTTTTATACCTATTGACTAACCTCTCTCCATCCAGTCTTTGGCCAGTCTCTGGTAACCACTATTCTACCCTGTACATCTGTGAGAGCTGCTTTTTTAAACTCCGTATATGGGAGAAATCATGTGGTATTTGTCTTACTGTGTCTGGCTTATTTCATTTAATATAATGTCCTCCAGGCTTATCCATGTAGCCAAAAAGGACAGGATTTTATTCTTTCTTTTCTTTCCTTTCTTTCCTTCCTTTCCTTCCTTCCTTTCTTTCCTTCCTTCCTTCTTTTTCTCCCTTCCCCTCTCCCCTCCCTTCCCCTCCCCCCTCCCCTCCCCTCCCCTCCCCTCCCTTCCCTTCCCTTCCCTTCCCTTCCCTGTCCTTTTTTTCTTTTCTTTCAAGACAAGTCTCACTCTGTCGCCAGGCTGGAGTGCAGTGACACAATATTGGCTCATTGCAACCTCCGACTCCCTGTTCAGGCAATTCTCCTGCCTCAGCCTCCCGAGCAGCTGGGATTACAGGCACACACCACCATGCCCAGCTAATTTTTGTGTTTTTAGTAGAGACAGGGTTTTACCATGTTGGCCAGGATGGTCTCCATCTCCTGACCTCGTGATCCACCCACCTTGGCCTCCCAAAGTGCTGGGATTACAGGTGTGAGCCACCGCACCTGGCCCTTATTCTTTTTTTAATGGCTGAATAGTATTCATTGTGTATCTATATCACATTTTCTTTGTCTGTTCCTCTGTTGGTGGGCAGATAGATTGATTCTATATCTTGGCTAATGTGAGTAGTGCTACAATAAACAGTGCAGATATCTCTGACATACTGATTTCATTGTCTTTGGATAAATAACTCAATGGGATTGCTGGATCATATGGTAGCTCTACTTCTAGTTTTTTGAGGAACCTCCACACTGTTTTCCATAATGGCTGTACTAATTTACATTCTCATCAGCATTGTATAAGGGTTCCCATTTCTCCACATCTATGCCAGCATTTGTTTTTTGTCATGATACTGGCCATTCTTATAGGTGTGAGATGATACATTATTGTGGGAAGATAACTTTATTGTATAGAACTAGATTTCTAGACAATTTATGGAAACTGATGAAGACCATGTTATATTTTAAAATATATTTTAACCAAGGCTCACAGGGTATTTCTCTACCTTTTTTTTTTTTATCTGAAGTGCTATCAGATTTTTTTTTTGCTCTGTTGCCCAGGCTGGAGTGCAGTGGCGCTGTCTCGGCTCACTGCAAGCTCCGCCTCCTGCGTTCACGCCATTCTCCTGCCTCAGCCTCCCGAGTAGCTGGGACTACAGGCGCCCGCCACCACGCCCGGCTAATTTTTTTTTGTATTTTTAGCAGAGACAGGGTTTCACCGTGTTAGCCAGGATGATCTCGATCTTCTGACCTCGTGATCCGCCCGTCTCAGCCTCCCAAAGTGCTGGGATTGCAGGCGTGAGCCACTGCACCCGGCCAGTGCTCTCAGATTTTTAATTCCTATGCATAGCATACAGTAAACCTCATCTGGAAGTCCCATACACGGCACAGTGCAGGCTGCTCAATTTTTCTGCCTTGGAAGGATGAAAAGCTAAGTTGAAAAATCATTTTATCAGTTTCACTCCAGTTGTTACATTTTGGCTTTAGAAATATCCTTCATCTCCTGCATCTCATAATCTCCTGCCTTTGAGGTTGTGTCATAGATATTATATCACCCAAGTGCTTTCAATTTGAACTTCTTCAAGAGGGGTGCCTATGTCTCAGAAGTTTCCCGTAGGTCCTATTTTACAGTTATTATTTCAGTTCCTTCTACGCTAGCTTGTTGAAGAAAGTTCTCTAACCAAAGGCAATTCTAATTGCCTTTGAAACCAGTACTAGTCAAGCTGTACAGTAGTTTTATGAAGACTGAGCACTCAACCTGGAGTTCCTTAAAAAGAAGACACAACAGGAAGGCCCAAGATACCCTTTTGCCCTTCAAAATGAACTGCCAGTGCCCCTGCTTTCATGCCTTGAGTGAACATATTCCATTAGAACAAGACTGTACTTTTGGTTTTACTTAAGAATAACTCTCTGAGAAATGTGTTGTTTAGCAATATTCCTTTCAAATTCACAAGCGCTAATTGAAATTACTCTCTATGCTATCTTTCTAGCAAGACTTAAGGTTTCATGAATAGATAGTGATCCTCTTCTCATGTTTCAGGGTTCTGTCTTCATACTCTGTTCTCCTTCCTTTCCTCCATGTCTTTCCCCTTGACTGTATCACTTAAAAAGCTATTCTTTAAAATTAGTGATATTGCTTCTAATTTATATATTTCATCTCCTTAACCGTACTGTAAACCTCTCTGAGTCAGGAAGTATATGTCTTGTATTTATTTTGTATTTTCACACAATGGTCACTTAGTTCAAATAATTCATAAATTTTTGGCATCTAGGTTAGAATGGCACAAAATAAGGCATAGTTCTTGTCTTCAAAGTGCTTTTAACCTTTAGAAGAGATGTGACATGCAAGTTTAATATGCAAGAGTTATTAAAGAGAGCACAATCAGTTTCTCCTCAGGAAAACAGTGGGGACAGATGGTATTAAGAGCCATGCCTTAGTAGCACTGGATTATTGGGATATTTTAATGTGTGTATTTGCTGGATCACAGCATTATAAAGGAGACATTTAAAGAAAACACTAATGATCGTAATCCCTTCTATGTATAATTCTTGGTGGTGGGCAAAACTCATTCCCGTTGTTATTTCATTTTCGTTTCATTACCCTTTGAATCAACGGATCACATTTATTATGAACATATAAAAATCTCACCTATTTAGCTTTCAGAGTTTTGTTTTGTTTTTCCTAATTGCCTTGATGATCAGAAAACAGAAATATCAGAGTCTTGACCTCTCTCTGCCATGATCTTTTGTGTTGAGTTTAGCACTCTTGAAGAAAGGAGAGATTTGTTTATAGCATCTGCCCTGACAAGTCAGTACTGATTCTCTATCCTGGTTAACCAGATTTATTAGTGACTTTCTTATAATACTATTGTAACATTACTTTTGCTTTCCTTCTCCACCTCATGCAAAGAGAAATGAAGTAGGAACTTTTTGCTTGTTTGACATATTCCTGATTTTTTTGTAGGTTTCTCTGAGGTGATGTAGCTTTTTTGGACAGTACACCTGCTATGATATGTAATAGTTTGTACTGTTTTGCTAAGTGATTTTTCTTCCTTTAACAGAAGTATATTTTAACTGTTTGGTTTCTTTTTTCTTTGTGTTCCAATATTCTTTGAGGAGAATAGAAAATGGAAGAAGAAACCTTAGTAAATAAGTTTTTTTTGTGTTACCGAGAAACTGTTTAATAATAAATGTTTCCCGATCCACTTGATGTCCACTTTTTTAAAAAATGGCCTTTATTGAAGGCAAAATTTGGTTTCGATTTTGCTTAGATGAAATTGCATTATTTTGCTATTATTCAGGAGACTGTTTCTCACCTGGTTGATCATTTCAACTGTTTCTTTCTGTGCTTCAAATCATGAGAATCCCATTTGCCCCACCGCAGACTTGGCATGTCGAATAAATGTGATGGCAGCAATTAACATCACGATTGCAATGAAAATGTAAAAAGGAAATAGTTGCAAAGTTGTAGTAGGGAAAACAAAAGCTGGAAAAGCAGCTTTTTATAAATAATTATGAAATTATTTTCATTTTTCCTACATAGGATTGAAAAGTAAACAAATTCTCTGGTTATTTTACATGTTGATTGTTTCTGCCATATAGCTTAGGACTCTATATAGTTGTGGTTAGTTTTGTTTTTACATTTTAAGAACAACACAATAAATTGGAGTCATCAGTGTTCTACATAGATGAAAAGAAATTTATTATTAGAAAAAGCCAAAGGACTTAAAATGTTCCCTTACTTACACATAAATTTAAGTATATTTTTTCCTAGCTAGTAGGTCATTGTGTTATTATTGTGTGTTGCAGAAAGTATTTCACTTAAATTTGAAAATAATTATTAACTGGCTAGTGTTTCATTTTTTATTTAAAAGAACATTATCTAAATATTTATATAAAGCAAAGCAGTCATTCTTTTCATCCTAAGTGTTTACTAGTTTTCATTGTTTAATATTGATTTTCCTTTTTGTTGGTATTAGATTCTTATTACAATGCGTTTGCTCTTTGCCCTGTGATGTTGCTTTGTTGGCTTGTTCATCTACGTTGTAGACCTAGATGACCTTCATGTTCTAGTCCTTTGAGTTTTTTACTAGGCTGAAACAAAAGAAAGCGATTGGTTGCTAGTAAAAGAACTGAACAAAGGCAGACAGGGAGGGTTTTAAGCATGGGATACTGCCTTAGAAAACAGCAGGTATATCTCAGCTCGGTCTATGAAAACCAGCTTCTATAAGGCTAGGCCACCACACTGTCATTTTTTTATTATTGGCCATCCCTTAGTCTCTGTACACTGTTGAAAAAGTGATGATTCATCACAGGATAGTTAGAAATAATTGGCCTGTTCAAACCCTTTACAGTTGGGGAAGTTGGTTTTCTACATCATATAAACCTGATGTCCATTATGCATGTATATTTGGGACACAGTCTGCCTTTTAACTGCACTGTGCTTTACCTGTATGTTTAATTCAGGATGAGATTGGTTCCTAAAGCTTTTAAACAAAGACTTTTTCTTTTTGCTGTTTTTATCTTTTAATATCAATATTGAATGAAAACATATGGGAACCATTCAGAGATGTTCAGTAGACATTAAAATAAAAAGGAAAATGTTTGACAGTTTCCCTGGGTAAGCTGCGAGGCATTTATGTAGCAAAATGATGTATTAAAAGCCAATTATTAGAATAATGATCAACATAAAACCTGGGCTTTATACATCATTAGAAGGTTGTCTGTTGTGGTTGAGGGTTTGGGGCAGTATACATTTGAGTCTGAATACTCCTCCTTATAAGTGACTCATTTTGTGAAGAGAATACAGAAAAATCTTCAAAAACTTTACTTACCTTTCCCATGATTGGTGTTCGTTTTTTGTTCAGGTCCTGTTTTTCTCATAGTAAAATAACTCAGTATATATTTTTGGCTTTAGATTGTTACTAATTTAATCTAGTTTCTCAGAATATTAAATTTATATTTATATGTTTTATGTGCCATTAAGTATTGTTAGAGAATTTGTATAGAGGTTAATAAAAGAGAGTTGCCCAAATTCTAACTACATTAATCTGATATTTAATTAGTTGTGTGTTAGAAGGAAGATAAATCAAATTTTACTTATACCTATTAATAATGGTTACTGGGTGAATTCTGGTAAGGTATTATGTAAAGGCCAGAGAAAATAAAATATTGATGTTTAAAAAGTTTGTGGATAAGAAATCTTTTATTTTTCTTGCCACTTAAGATTAAACCAAAAGATAATTTTTTTACCCTCACTGAATAAACTCATTTAAATAGGGAAAATCTGACCGCATTTCATCCTTCAATTCCTAAGATAAAGGAAAAGAAGCAGCAGGAGTAGCAAAGGTTGGGATAGAGATGGCATACTTTACGTCATTTCTTTCAAAAGGGATGGAATTAAACAAAAAATTTTTTTTCTAGCTAAAAGGCCATCATTTTGTGTTTGTTATTGTTAAGAAGCCACCCAACTACGATTAAAAACATTTAATATGCAATAAAATATTGACGTAAAAGAAATAGCCAAGAGATAGATATTTGTTAATGTGGATATACTTTCAGATTTTTAATAATACTATTGAAATTTTATAAAGTATTGAATAAAATTTCACTTTTAAAAAATAAAAATTCATTTAACAATAATTTCTGAGATTTATCTAGGCCTCTTACCACACTTGGACCTCTCATTTAATCAAAGGATTGATATACACAATAAGTGTGCACATTACAATAAGGTATCTGGGTCAAAGATATTTTTCTTGTTTTTTATTTTGATGTTTATTTAAGAATTTTGCTTATAATATGCCAAACCTTTAGCTATTTAGATAAGTCCCAGTCATACCTAAAATTTTTACTTAGAGCTGAGTATTTGGTGTGGTATTGACCTGGGTAATGAGCGTATAACAAAATGTTATAAATGAAAAGCTATTTCTGACTTAAACTCTTGATTCTTCTACATTAGTGCTAGTAAAATTTATGTATTCTTAGTTCCAAGTAGTGGAATTTTATACATTTTATAATGCCATAGCAAAGCACGATTGGAAATGAGAAGTGCTGTCTCTTAGAAGTTCTCTCATATTTCAGCTAAAACATACTCAGCAAAAAAGATATGTAAATTAAAAGAAAATCTCCAATTTCCTATTCTGAGTAAAGCTTTGATTTTTGCTGATTCAGGAAGTAAGGTTGACATTGGAGCTTCTCATTTCATCTGGAATAATCACTTTTTCCTTTTGAAAAGTCTTTCATTTTAGCAGCAGTATCTTCTAAAACACTCCATTTTGCATGGATGAACCTGTTTTTCTCTAGATAACACAGAAAATACAACTATCATAAATGGTAACCTGCTTTCTATAGTATAGCTTTCCTGAGTGCCCAGTGAGATACTAAAGTGCCAGGCTGTTCATTCTGGAGATTTCACTGATTTTTCTAGCTGCATCCCTATTCTAACCCCCCAAATAACTCCCAAAAGAGGAATTTTATAACTTCCAAATTGACTGCTGTAATAAAATGTTTATCCCCTAAGTCAGTAGTGGCTCATCAGCTTAGGATCATTCAGAATATATAATTCCAGTTCTTCTTGAAACATTGCACCATTTTTTTCTGTTAAAATAGGTTTTGGTTTATCTTAGTGATGCTGATATTTTCTCAGATTTTCCATTAGTATTTTTTCTCCCATCTGAATAATAATCTGAATAAATAATGAACTGGCTTTTGTTATAGGGGTAGGTGCATAGAGCATCCAATAGCATTCCAAATATTTGGCTGCCAAATAAGGAAATCATAACTGCTTATTTGTATTAAATTAGTATTAAATAAAATGATTAACATTTTAAAATGTTTTGGTATAATCTACATGCAATCCGTTAAAATTTCCAAACTAATGTCAGATTCTTTATTGCTTGGCTTTCTGCCAAATGATGTTCAAAGGAAATTGAGTTTTTCTCTAGCATCTAAGGTAAATGGAAATGTATGTGATGTTTAGCTTTGACTAGAGAGTTACAAATGGATCCATGGAGTTTTGGTTATATAATTTATATGCTATATGTATGAGGGCACTTCCTTGCTTCCCATGATACTTGGGATGGTGCTGTCAGTGGAGCAAATGTATGCTTATGCCATCTTGTCCATAATATGTATTTCTGTTGCTATTTGAACTATTAATGCTATGTAATACCAAGTACTTATATCAGAAATTTGTACTCTATGTAGATAGTGCTTTTGAACTTCTTTCTGATAGTACATATTCCTGTATTAATACAATAAAGCCAAGCTGACAGGATGACATAGTGAAGCTCTTATTAAAAATGTGTTCTAATTGTTGCTGAGATACTATTGGAAATCTAGAGCTTGCTGCCTCAAGTTATTTTAAATTGTGTATTTTATATTTACATTTTACATTTACATATTTTATCTATTAAGAATTGCTTTTAAATTAAAAGCTTTACATACGCTTAAACAAAAGTATGAAAGTATATTTGAACTTCAGGAAGCAATTCTTTGTATCAGCACCCTGAATGGTTTTGTATTAAGGAAAGCCAGATTCAGTGACAAGTTTGACCCTCACATCTGGAATTGCCATTAGAGAAAAGCAATCATCTGAGTCATATGTGTATACTTACCTATGACATAAGAAGCACATTTATTTTTCTTCTTTTTTTAAAAGCATATTTCTTTCATTTTAGAAAACCAAAATGCCCAGATTATTATGATTAACATTTAAGTTTTTTGGCTAAAACATAGTTAAGAATTATGGCAGGAAATACAGAATTATTTCTGAGCAAAGTTTATGACATCCAAATTAATACAGCTTTTAAAGGAATCGATGGATAAGCCATTTGAAATTTATATATATTTGTTTTATGTTGATGTCATAGATCTACCGTGTAAAATTTAAACATTATGAAAACAGATTTTAAATATTTAGTAAAGCCTTCTCTGGAAAATGCTAAACCTTTGTTTTAAAATTATATCTGTAGATATCTGGTCACTAATACTGTGAAATTATTTCAGCATTGAGTATTGCCGGCTACAAGTGCTTTGGAAACTCTTTAGCTGTTCATTTTTGGCAAAATCTTACTTTTTGAAAAGACCTTATTTTAGAGGAGATATCAATATTGCTTTCTCAGTTTTTCAAACTACCATTTTGTAATTTATTAGTAAATTGTAAGTGCCACAGAAACCACTGTGCAGTATTCAAGGTCCTTGCATTCAGGGTTAAAACTGAGTTTATATACACACATACTAAACTCTTACAAAGCCAGGGAACAACTATTCAAACTGCACTGTGGACTATGCTAGAGGAGTTAGCATGCTTTCTTTGCAGACATGGTTGATTTGAATACAACAACAAAAAATTGTCCAGACTGCCAACTGAAACCCTTGAAAACACTTTTCAATCTGTAGATACAACTGTATCAGCAAAATGTTGATCAAAGTTCAAGTGGAAACATTAACTAGTCTAGCTAGCCTTCTGGTGTTTTCATTGGTTAATTCACAAAGAGCATCGCACAGTGGATTTTTACGTAGTAGTAACAATTTGCTGTAAAATTGTATGGTCTGAGGATATGACCGTAGAGTTTGTCTTCTGTGTCTCCAAACTTACTATCCTGTACATCTTGACTCATTTTATTCATTTTTCACTTCATTAAACAATAAGGATTTACCTTAAATTAAGCATTTTTTTGGTATGTTTATTGTCTCCTAGTGGTCCTTTGTAATGCCATATGGTTGCTGCCCAGCTCGACTTACAAACTTACTCTTTTTGCTTCTCATACTAGCCATTTTGCAAGCCTGAGCTGCTTTGTGGTACAGGTCAAGTACTTATGGAGTAAAGTTAAGTGAATTTTTATTGTGCAGGAATGTCTTCGTTTAAAGAAAAAAAAAAAAAGAAAGAAAGAAGAAAAAGACTGCCCCAGCCCTTGTTTTTTAAATAGAAACATTTTTTATTTTAGAGCAACTTGGATTTCCTACTGAATATACCATAGTATAGTGAGGGTTATATTTTGTTTTAGGCAGAATGGTTTTTAAAATAGCCCAATTAATTACATAAATGGAAGTTAATTTATTTTATAAAACAGTTTATTTTAAAATAGCTTATCCATATGAGTTATTTAAAAGGGAACTAACTCTTAATGTTTTTAAATATGATTTGATTTATAATAAACTTCCTGGAAGTGAGGGAGGCCTTTAATCTTCATGTATTAAGAGAGGGTGAATAATAATGAATTATTTTTGCCAAGACAGTTTTTTCCTGTTAAAACCCAAGTAATCCTGCCATTTTCACATTTTTCCTTTTGTTCTAAAAAGAAGTGGTAAATGTTTTGCACTGTTTGTTGGCTATGGCTGTGTCATGAGGGTTCTACCATGATTGATCAGTGAGGGCCACTGTGTATTTTTCATATATATTCACTGTGGAATAGAATCCAGTGTTGAATTTTTTTTTAAGTCAGTAGTGAAGAATGGTGGAGAGCATTTGTTCCATTGAATAATTTATAATAGCTAATTTCCCCATAAGAAGCCTACCAAAACATGATAGATATATCTCACTTGGAAGAAAAGTTGTCTGTAAAGTGAATCAAATCCTATTTTAATATATCATATGAGTATATAAACCCCTTTTTCTCACTGATTTTATGGGATCAAAGTGGAAATTATTCTTGTAGAAAATGACTTGGTTTTTAAGACAAATCAAATTTTTAGAAAAGACTGATTTTCAAATACAGTAATATGTATGTCAGATTCTGAGTGCAAAGTAGATAAATATTTTAGATAGATAAAATTTTATATTTGGCATAAATTGAGTAACTTTAAAGATAAACTTTATTTTTTATTTTTATGTTTTGAACACAGTTATAGTCAGTAGTTTCAGATTTTCATCCTCTCCTTGAAATGTTTCAATAGAAAGGATATGTAACTCTTCTTTAATGTTCAATATTCTAGTACTTTAAAGAAGAAGCTATTTTTAAAAATTAAAAGACTGAAATAAAAGAAAGGAATTTCCATTTAAACAGTTGAAATTGTGATTTTAAAATATACTAGCAAATTATTAGATAAGCAAATAATTTCTTAGAAGCCATATAACAGTAAACTAAATTCAATCCAACAAACTATTGTTGAGCACCTACCTGTGCAGAGTGGACAATGTTAAGCAGTAGAAATGTGTTATTGCCTAAGAGTAACTAGTTCGTAGCCTAAGAGAGAGTCAGACACATAAATGGATACTTACAATACAAAGTGTAAGTACCTTGATAGATGAAAATATAGGACATCATGGGGACGTCTAGGACTCTGAATTCACTTTTGGGAAATCAGGTAAGACTTCTTTACTCCAAGACTTCTTTCCTCCAGAAGTCTTATCTGATTTCCCAAAACTGAATTAGGACCTGAAGAATAATTAAAATAAGCTAAACAGAGGAAGGCCTGGAAGAGAGAGAGTGTTGTTGCAGGTTCAGAGAATAGCAGGTATATAGCCCTATTGCTATTGCTTAAGAGATTTATGTATAATTTGGTGTGGCTGGACCATAGGTTTTAAAGGTAATGGAGAATAGTGAGACATTAGTCTGGATTGGTAAAGTGAGACCAGATTATGAAGGGATTTATAAGAACGATCAGAAAAATCAAGAATATCTCAAAGATATTTTTAGTAAGATAGTGACAGGATCATATTTACAATTTACAAGTCAGTTTGGCAGAAGGCAAAGAATAGCAGGGGTTGGGCAGATGATGGCAAGATCAAACTTAAAGAGACTGATTCCTTTCTAAAATAGATGAGAGGTCATGGTACTGTTCTTCTGGATAGTGAATACTAGAGGAGAATCAAGTTTGAAAGTGGACAAATAATAGTTTGTTTTTAACATTTGATTTGAGGTGCTTGTGGATGATCTAATTTGAGGTGTCCAGAAAGGAACTGGATATATGAATATAGAGCCAAGCTCAAGAGAGAATGAAGCTAGATATATAGATTAGGAAGGTAATCAGCATGAGAATGTTAACTGAACCCACAGGAGTCCACAAGGGTCTTCAGGGCTCTCCATCTTTAGCATCAGCGTATGATAATGATTTTGTTACCTAATTCATTATGTTTCAAATGTGAATGCATTGTGAAATATTTAATGTACTATACCAGTATAGGATATTATAAACTATAATGAAGAGTGCATTTACTAAACACATTGCTATAAAACTGGTGTAGTAAACTCTGGGCCAGTGTGGACCATCATTTGGGGCAGGAAAAAGAATCATGTATTTTTTCCCCTTTTCTAAATTGACATATTAAAAGTTGTACGTATTTAACATGTACAACATGATGTTTTGAAATATGTGCAGTTGGCTCTCGGTATCTACAGATTCAACTAACCATGGGTGGAAAATATATTTGCAAGTCAACTTTTTGTATCGATGGGTTCTACAGGACTGATTGCAGGAGCATCCATAGATTTTGGTAGCTGAGGCATCTTGGAACCTTGGAACCTCTGGATACTGTGGGACGACTGTATATATTGTGAAATGGCTAAATTGAGATGATTACCATATGTATTACCTCACATACCTGTTTTTTGTGATGAGAACACTTAAAACCTACTCTCTTAGCAATTTTTAAGAATACAGTGTATCGTTAACTGTACTCACCATGTTGTACAACAGATATCTTTAACTTATTCTTCCTATCTAACTGAAATTTTGTTATCTTTGACAGATACCTCCCCAACCCCCTCTCCACCAAACTCCTGGTAACCACCATTTTATTCTCTACTTCTGTGAGTTCAAATTTTTTAGATAACGTATATAAGTGGACATAAATGTACTTTGTGGATTTTTATATTCTGTCACTTAGCCTTTCACACCTCACTTCACAGCTTTGTGAAGGAGAGGTAGGTATTTTTATTGCTGTTTCCAGTTTAAAAATGTAGTGATATCAAGTAACTTTCCTGAAGTCTCTTGTTGCTCACTGTTGAGTGACAAAATAAAACTTTGAAGAGGGACCTGGGTAGAGAGAGAAATGAGCAAAAAACCATTTCAATGAGAGATCAGTGACCTTACTGCATTTAAGTGTTCTTAGACAGGAATTACACCATTTTTCAAATGTATTGTTTATTTAAAACTTGAATACCCCATCTGTAACTCTGTTCTAGGTGATGTGGTATCAGTACCAGAATGTTGTACTGTTTCTGAAAATTATTTTCAGTATAGCAGTTAAGGACATTAAGGCTTCAAAGCCATTGGTCCAGTTTTGATAAGAAATGAAGTTGGAAGTTGGGTGTAGTGGCTCACACCTTTAATTTCAGCACTTTGGGAAGGGCCAAGGTAGGAGAATTGCATTAGCCCAGGAGTTTGAAACCAGCCTGGGCAACACAGGGAGACCCCATCTCTAGAAAAATAAAAAATAAAAACAATTAGCTGGGCATGGTGGCATGTGCCTATAGTCCCAACTAAGTAGTTCTCTGCTAAGCCCGGGAAGTCAAGGCTGCAGTGAGCCATGATTGCACCACTGTGTTCTAGCCTGGAAGACAAAGTGAGACCCTGTCTCAAAAAAAGTAAAAGTAAAAATAATAATAATAATAATAATAAAGCTGGAAATCAAGGATATATTTTCATCATCTCTTCACTTGACACCAAGACAAGTCACAAACCTGAAGAGTATTGCCTATTTATTCCTATTTATTAGAAAACAAAAAAAAAGTTGTTTTTCAACTCTTTTATCTAGGTATGAATGTGTTAAAAATTATTTTTAGTGTTTTATATATAAGCCAGCATAAATGATAGTAGAATACATTTGTATAATGCTTTAATATTTACATACTTTGACATATTTTCTCATACAACCCTTACAGTTCTCAGAGGAGGTAGTCAGAACAGGTATTAACCTAATTTTATTTTTGAACAAACAGGTTCAGAAGGTAAAGTCAGTTTGTTTCAGAGCTAGAACTTTTCCTATTATACCACCCTGCTTCTAGATGTGCAATCTGTTTAAGAATTAAAGTAATTTAAAATGGTAAATTAAAATGATGTTATTGCAGTTATTTTAATTTCCTGCCTGGAGCGTTTCAGTAGTAGTGGTTCCTGTATTATCTGGGAAGTTAAACCAAATGTTCTTTTATACTCTTTTAGACTCTACAACTTCAGTTAATCCAGATTTCCTACCCAATAACATTGTTTGGGAGCCAGGGATCTCTGGTTGCCCAACCCTTCTAAGTACTTAGAAGCTCTTAGAAAGAATGTTCAGTGAAAGGCAGTGAAAAGGCCTGTTTTGGATACCTACTGCCTATAGCTGAAACCTGTTAGGTGCCTTCATGTGAATCCCTGAAGACACCATGATGAAATTGATAAGCATGTCATAATTCAAGTAAAAACTTATTATGAGTGCTAGATGATAGCCATATACTGAATACTTTCCTGATTTTACTGCTTTTGCCATTGCTCATCTATCTGTAGCTGGAATGCTTTGTCTCATATCAGACTGCCAGAACTAAATTCCACCAGCCTTCAAAGCCAGCCCAACTGATAACTATTTTTGTAAAGCTTTCCCTACTTACTCTAACAAGTAATGATGTAAAATTCTTAGAACAATCTGTCATAGTCTCAATGCAGATGTCACATGTAACTTTGTTATTAATATTTTAGTTACTTGTGGATATCTCATATCTTCTTTGGTTTCTTTGTTATAGAACATTGTCTTCCCATAAACTTGAATATTGTCCCTTTCCCTTAGAAAAGGGAAATGTGGGAGAGGTGGGGAGATGGTTACATCAACCCAATTTTTGCTTCTTAAAATGGGCTTTTGTTGATGTGAGTCTATGGTCCCATTTATTGTTGTGACAATATCTTGGTAGTGGGAATTACTGGGTATGTTGGAGAACCTCAGAAGGGAGAATGGTCATGTTCTCCAGTGCCGTATCTGAATATCTGAATCCTGCTCTGGAACACAGTTCTTATTCTCAACACTTGATCCTATTCTCTTTATCAAACATAGTTTTTACCTCGTTCTCTGTAAGAGCCAATTCCCAGCCCCATAAAGCCAGGAAATCCAGCAATAAAGAATTGTTCCCAGCAGCATGTTTTGTACTTATATTTTCTTCTTCTTCCTTTTTTTTTTTTTTTTTTTTATTTGTTGTTGTTTAGACAGCGTCTTGCCCTGTCGCCACGCTGGAGTCCACTGCAACCTCCGCATCCTGGGTTCAAGCAATTCTCCTGCCTCAGCCTCCCAAGTAGCTGGGACTACGGGTGCGTGCCACCACACCCAGCTAATTTTTGTATCTTTAGTAGAGATGGGGTTCACCATGTTGGCCAGGGTGGTCTCAATCTGTTGACCTCTTGATCTGCCCTCCTCGGCCTCCCAAAATGCTGGGATTACAGGCATGAGCCACCGCGCCCAGCCAGTACATAGATTTTCTAAAGTGTTCAACACTCTTATCAATTCAGATTCCACCATAATTTATATGATCAATCAAGCACTGCTTTGTTTCTCTGTAGGTCTCCTGGAATACAACATAGTCAGAGATGTGTAGAGTATGGTCCTTCTGGGTTTGCCAAATTTTGTGCTGAAGGAAAATGATGGCTCCACCGCTCTTCCTGCCTAACTCGTAGAAAGGCAGCATGGTATTGTGATAGAAACATGAGCTTTGAAGATAAGCAGTCAGATTCTGATTCCTGTTCTTCTAATAGTCCAGCCTTGTAAAGATCACTTATCCTCATAGTTAGCAAGACTTCCTCATTTAAAAAATTCTTTCCTCATAGGGTTGTTGTGAAGACTAAGTGAATTAAGTTCTGTGAAAAAATCTAGCACAGTGTTTAGCACATGAATAGTTTTCTCCATATATGTGGCCTCTCTCCTGGGATGATCACCTTGTCCCAGTTTGTCCAGGGTTTCCCTAGTTTTATCACAGAAAGTCTCATGTGTACTAGGAATCAATCTCTCTCTTTCTCTCTCTTTTTTTTTTTTTTTTTTGAGATGGAGTTTTTGCTCTGTTGTCCAGATTGGAGAGCAGTGGTGCAATCTCAGCGCACTGCAACCTCCGCCTCCTGGATTCAAGCAATTTTCCTGCCTCAGCCTCCCAAGTAGCTGGGATTACAGATGCCTGCCACCACACCCAGCTAATTTTTGTATTTTTAGTAGAGGCGAGGTTTCACCATGTTGTCCAGACTGATCTCGAACTCTTGACCTCAGGTGATCCGTCTGCCTCTGCCTCCTGAAGTACTAGGATTACAGGCGTGAGCCACCACGCCTGGCCTCTCTTCTCTCTCTCTCACTTGACTTTTCTAGGCTTATTGGCCATTCCTTGAATAAGGTACAGTCAAGTTTTACTTTAGACTTTTAAGTAGCTCAGAATAGAGTTCCTTAGCTTGTTGGTTTTTACTTATTTTTTTCATTAATGTTTCAAGGTATATTATGAGGTTGCATTATTTAATTGCTTTGTTGATTGAGCCAGGCAGATCTTTCATTTATTAGCTGGCCTGATATCAGGGCAGGAAAGCTTATGAGTTACTTTGTAAAGTGATGGTTTTATTAAAGGTGGTAATTTTGATCAGCTGACCTATTGGTGGGTTCTGATTACTTTACAGAAGTGGATGGTATTGACAAGCCTCCATCTACTTGGAAGTTTTAAAATGTGTTCTTTTTATTAAAAGGACTTCATCCTGTGAAACTAGTTTCTTCAAATTGAAGTTCTCTCAGTCTAGGCATGATGAGTTACAAAAATGATTGTTTGTAGTATTTTGGAATTGGTTTCCACCTTTATATAAACTCAAATGTCAATTTAATGTGTTCAGTAAGCCAAGCAACCTTTCTAATGAAACAAGTATAATTATGATTTATTTATATTTTTATTTCATTTCTCATTTTTTTCAGCAATCTTTCCTGTCCTCAACTATGTTTCCTTTTTAATTTAAAAAAATCAAGTAGAAAACAAATATCTGGCTTTTTTGTCAATGTCATGGTCTTATGTCAAGATCTTGAAAGGTATCTCTCCAAATTATTGTTCTGCTATAGTTATTTCTATCAAAGAAGTCCTCTTGTATAGCTATTTGTTGAATTGTGTACCTACTGAATTAGTCAAAGCTCTAGCTAAAACCATTTTTTTCTTTACCTCTCCCCTCCCCCAAAACTTGCTTTTGTTATGTATTGGCTTGCTAATCCTTGTGTTGAGCAGTATCAGACATCACCTTTCTTGGGGGCAGTTAGTCCACTCTTCCGCTTTCTTTGTCAGAGGGCTCCCTTAATAGGAGAAGTCAACAGGGAGGACAAAAAGGATTGAAAGTTGTATTTAATCAGGGTCAGAGAGGTGGTGTTCAGAGTGACGGGCCCACAGGCAGGCTGGCCTTTTATGCTTGCCGACGCAGATGGTCCCAGAGCATTCAGCTAAGTGAAGAGAAAGCTGCCCAGTGAAAGCTATTGTAGGGTAGCATCGTTACAGTTGAGAAAGGTTGCCAGGGGTAACTAGAGAGTATCACCAGTATCGTGTGATCACTAGGCTGTGCCATTGAAAATGTTAGACTGAGGATTGTATTGGGTCCCTTGGCATCTTGATGTTCATATGTAAGCAGTATTAGCTTACATTAGTGTTTTTAATTTAGTTTTTTCTGTTTTCTTCCCTTTGTTCTTTCCCTGCCTTTTTTAATATATAAAACATAGACTTATTTTAATTCACAATTTTGTAAAACCTTCTGAAAACATACCATTATTTAATAATATATCTCTTATAGGCTTTATGGTTTGGTATAAACTATACCAAATTTTTGTGAATAAATTGGATTTATGAAAATGAGGTGTAATATTTCTCGTTTAAACAGCTCTAAGTTGATTTTCCATTGCTCTGAAACTGCCCTAGTATATCCCAAGATGGGTAGTTTGTTTTTCTTTGTGATTTTAAGTAACTTATTTTAAAATATGTTAGTATTTACCTGAAAACAGTAGATAGCATTGAGTGCAGGGTTGTGACCAAGAACTCCCAAATATTTATGAAATCTATCTTCAATTTTTGCCTAAGGCAAAAGTAAAAATATGCATCCCAAATGAGCCAGAACCAAAATAGTGTAACAATCATTGGTCTCAATTTAATATACTTAATATACTTTGAATATGATTTTAATATGCCAGTTTTGGAATTCCTTAATTTCATCCCTTCTATTGTCCCCCGGATATTTTAAGAAATTACTTATAGTCACATACAAAATGTAAACACAGTAGTCTCCTGCCGTCACTAGAGGAAAACACATAGAGATTTCTATTCAATGTAAAAGTGAAATTTGAAGTGTAACTAACGTTCAAGGTGAAATGATAATAACTTTGCAAATTATTGTTTTAACTTAGATTACCAGTCAACCCAATTTAAGTCACCCTTACGTCAGTCAGAGCTGATTTTGACTTAATACTGCTTTCTCACCTGTTGAGAGAACATTAAGTGAGGACAAACATAGTACCATCCTGTAATACCAACATTGGTATTTGAGAGCTAATCATCTCCAATGTTATTATTTTGTGTTAGAGGTAACTTTTAGAAATTGGTGAATTTCAAGTGGAGCCAGGCTTTAAAATGCCTTCTGAGACCCCCACTTAATAGTTCTGACTCTAAATTAATTTCACACCTTTATTGAAAAATCTCAAATTTATGTTAAAATGAGCTGTTTGTTTCCTTCCTTTCATTAAAATACAGCTGAGTCATTTTCATTTAAAACAACTCATATTCCCATAAATAAGAACATTTGTCACAAAAAGTTAATGAATCTGGTAAAATTTAGAACTAAGATTCTAAAAGGTCTATAGATACGGCAAGAAAACTGTTTTTTGGAAAATTGAATTTTTATTAAAAAATCAACACAATGTGATTTCCCTTTATTTCCTGAAGAATAATAATTAGATTATGCTATTCTTTTATCATCATAGTTTTTTTTTAAAGGAAAATCATAATATGATCATCTAAAAGACTTAGGGAAAAAAATACATCTGTATCACTTATGGTGAGGTTGGCTTACCAGGATTTATGAATAAAGATTGTAGTGTCAATGCAAATTTTAATTACATTGCTTCTTTAATGAATCTTGATAAGTCTAAGACATTGAAGTTATAGCATTTTATGGTTATTATTTTTATTTTACCGATCCACTTTTTCTTTATCTATGTACATGATACAGATGTGACTGAAACACATGGTAAACCGAATGACCTTGAAGAAGAAAAGAACAAATTTCCATTTCATGTATTTTCATTTAAATTGACCACGTGACACACACAGTGGGACCAGGGAGATTCACATAAAAAAAAATTTACATTAAACTTCAGCAGAGACTTCCTATCACTTTGGTCTTTGATTCATTACAGGTAACATGAATATGAGAGGGAATGGTACATATTTAGTAGTTATCACATGTCATCACAACATAGATTAAAAAACAAAACCGTTTTTATGATTCACAAGTATAGATATGAATGTTACCTCCTTGATACAGTTTAAAGTTGACTCTTTAAAGATAGTCCTTTTATACAATTAAACCATCCTATCAACATATATTTTAAGTATATAAATTATTATATATGCACTTATAATTTTATACTGGAAATTAGGAGCTAGTAAACTAATTTCAGTTTTGCCAGTTGTTTAAATTTTTCTTTAACGTGAACCAAAACCTTTTTCGATTCCATTATTATGTTAGTAATAGTAATATATGAGTGTTACCAGAACATTAATGATTGGAATATTTAGCAAAACCCATTAATGATGGTGTGAGTTAAGGACTATCCCTATATTTCAGGTATATGGCAGTTATGGTGAGAACGTACAACCAGAATAATCACAATTTATTTGTTACAGTGAATTCCATTTTACGAAGAACTGGCAGGTTTTTTAATCTGAACAATATTCATACCAACTAACATACTTAAGAGGTACTCAGATGCTTGCTGAATAAATGTAGTTTAAGATAATACTTTTGAAAGTTGGCTGACATAAGAAAAATGGTAATCTTTAATGGGAAATTGCAGCCTTTGGTGTTTATTTACAAAGAGTTGGGAACTTTTTAAATGCTGTTAACCCTTTATATTGGTTTGAATCTCATCTGGGATAATTGAGAAGGCTCATTGTCATTTTGAGGATCCCAGACTCCCACAAAAAAAAAGATGAGAGTGGGGTGTTGACTAGAGAGCTCCAAGTGATAAAATCTAGGAAAGAACACTAAAAAAAGGCGTCAGAAGGTTTGGGTTTAAGCCCGCTAATATGTGTTTATTACTTACCTATAAAAAGATTACTTATCTATAAAAAGGTGATCTCTACCTACTTTAAGAATTACTACATTCATGAAATTAGAGTAAGTATGTGAAAGTACATACGAGTTGAGTATTCCTTATCCAAAATGCTTGGGACCAGAAATGTTTTAGATTTTGGATTTTTTCAAATTTTGAGATATTTGTGTTATATACTTAAAGTGGAGCATAACATTTCCTTTGAGTGCCATGTTAATGCTCAAAAAGTTTCTTTTTTTTTTTTTTTTGGATTTTTGAATTAGGGATACTCAACCTGTTCTTGGAAATCTGTAACATATGGTATGCATGTAAATTGATGGTTCAAATAATCACTAATACTACTCACATTGCTGCCACTGCTGATGCCTTATAACTAGTATCAGAAGAGCCTCTTGGGATGTTTATACTGTAGTCTACCCTTATCTTTAGGGAATACATTCCAGCATTCCCAGTGGATGTCTAAAACTGCAGATAGTACTGAACCCTGTATGCATTGTTTTTTCCTATACATACATACATCCCTATGATAAAGTTTAAATTATAAATTAGGCACAATAAGAGAACAACAAGATAGAACAATTATAACAGTATAGCATAATGTCAGTTAATGTGAATGTGGCACTGTACTCACCCTTCTTGTGTTGATGTGAAATTATGAGATGAAGTAAGGTGAATAATGTAGGCATTGTAAGCATTGTGATGTAGTATTAGGCTACTACTGACCTTGAACACAAGCATTGTGATACCTTAACAGTTAATCTGATAACCCAGATGGCTACTAGGTGACTTACAGGTAGATAAGGTATATAGCATGGATACACTGGACAAAGGCATGATTCACATCCTCATGGGGACAGTGCAAGATTTCATCATGCTACTCAGAATGGCGTGCAGTTTAAAACTTAAGAATTGTTTATTTCTGGAATTTTCATATAATATTTTTGGACTACAGCTGACTACGGGTAACTGAAACTGTGGAACATGAACCCACCGATAATGGAAGGCTACTGTATTTTAATATTTGCCAACACTGAGCATTTGAAATGAGCTACTTTGGCAGGAAAGATTATAAATAATTGAGTAGATATCAATGGATGAGCATCATAGTGCTCTATCAGCCCTTTGGGAGACCATGAGTAACCTATCATTTGGTTTTAGCTCTTTGTCTTGATTCACTTTATCAAAATGGGACTATAGATGACTTGTGGTAGGTTCTAGAGTGCAAGAAATGAGAAAATAAGTGAATGAGCTTTGCCCAGCCACAGATTCTTAACAGTGCTGAGGGAATTGTCCTGAGGTCTTTGCAAAATCCTAAATTAATGATTATCACTATAACAGATTTTTCTTTACTTCTTTCCATGTAACATGTATTTTCTTCCAACAGATATTTTTAATTGACTTCTTCAGATCAACATTAGTAGGTGACGTTTTAATAAGCATTCTACATTGTTTCCAGCATTTACCTGATGAAATTAGGATAAAATGCCATTTCTGACTGGTTACTAGCTTCCAAACAGCAGCCTTGTAGAACCTGCCATTCAGATTCATGAGTCAGCAGAATTTATAAATTATGATAGGTCATGGATCTTTGTTTTTTTCCCCAGATTGTCAAAAACACATGCCAAGTGTTGTGCAGCTTTATGTACTCTTTCTTTATATACTAGCCAACAGCCTACAATGGTAGTTCTCATCGTGTGGTCTGTGTACCTCTGGGAGTCCCTGGTTCCTTTCAGTGTCCCTTTCTTCAAGGTCAAATCTGTGTTGCTAGTAATACTAAGAAGTTATTTACCTTTTTCAATGTGTTGACATTTCCACTGATGATAAGGAGTAAGGAGTAAAAGTTCTGGCTCCTTAGAATGAATGAAGGCAATTACATGAAACCTTACTAATAATATTCTATATGTTATTTCTACATGCCTGTAGTTTTTTTAAAAAGCTAGTTAGTTTCACTTAGGAATGTTCTTGAAGCAATAAAAATAATTTTATTAAGCCTCAATACTCTAGTACATGTCTTTGAATATTCTGTATGATGAAACGGGAAGTACTGTACACACAAAATAAAACTCGGTGAACCAGTATTTTCCACATGACCCATTCATTATGTTACAAAATTATGCATGAGTGAAAATTTCATTTACTGTCCAAGAGAGACCAATTTTAGATTTTACATTGTAACTAACTTTTAGGAAACTATCACCTGTTAATTTTGGCCTAGTGTAAAAGAACAGTTTCCATAGGTATGGTAAAAAGCAATTGAATTACTGTTTTCTTTTTCAACTGCATAACTGTGTAATGCCAGATAATCTTCATACCATAGGGGAAAAATACTTTTTTTCAACCCTCATAGATTCTTCATTGGATATGGATACCTATAACAAAAGACAGAAGTTTATTGACATGTATATTTTATATATACATGGGAGACACCCATGGAATTAGTAGTTTTCAAGGTGGCTTTGAATAGAGCATTTTCAACAAAGAACAGTAAGTTTTTAGAGAATACAAGACTGAGGAAAAGGACTTTGAATCTGTAGCCGTAGTAAATTTTGGAAGGGCAAATCAATATGGCGGGTAGAGGCTAGTTGGTGAAGCTTATTAACACAGATTCTTTTCCAGGCTAAAGTTGTCTTCAGTGGTTAACCTTTGTTTCTCCTAGTAGAGAGGTGGGCAGGATACCTTTTGTCTTTGCAAATCTATGTCTTGATTTAGGCAAGTGGAAGGCAGAGAGGTTTCTTGCATCTGCTCCTTCAAAACTACCTTCAGTAGAACAATCCTTCCTATTTTGGGGTAGCATATTCTGGTTTCCCAGAACATACTTCAGTCAAAACAACATATCACAGCAGATTAAATACAGAGCCAGATATGACAACTCAACTATTTTCTAGTAAGCCAGATATGGAAAGACATTTGAAAATACAAAACAATGCCACTCTTCTCATTTCGGAAAATAGATTTTTCATAGAAGTTTCACTTTTATTTATTTTTTATTTTTAAATTAGTGGAGAACTATTTAATTTTTTTTTTTTTAGTTTTAATGTCTAGTATGGGAGATACTAATAGTAACAGACCAAATAAACAAAGGCTCTTTGAGGCTCTCAATTTTTAAGAATATAAAGGGATCCTGAGACTTAAAAATTTGAAAACTGCTAAGCTCTCTCTCACTGTGTGACTCGCCTGCTCGCCCTTTGCCTTCTGCCATGATTCTAAGTTTCCTGAGCCCTCACTAGAAGCTAAGCAGATGCTGGTGCCATGCTTCTTTTGTATATAGCCTGCTGAAGAGTGAACCAAATAAACCCTCTTTTCTTTATAAATTTCACAGCCTCAGGTATTTATAGCAACACAGAGATTAAAATCTTATTAGGGCAAGGGGTATAGCTGGTCCTAAAATTGTAAGATTAGGAACTATACTTTGTATTCTAGTTCATAAGTATAAAAGCCCTGGATGAGAAATTGATCTGAGGAAAGCTTTATTGCAAATTAAAGGACTCAGGAGAATAGATATCGCTGGGCAATGGAGGATATCTCATCATACCCCCCTTGAGCAGTTTGCTTTTATCATGACTTTGAGCACTATCCTTTATGTCTCTGTTCCTCAATTTCTCCAGTTATAAAATAGGACCATTTTTACATCAGCGCCTCCTCTCCCTGTCTTACAGGGGTTTGACAAGGATCAAATGAGTTGCTTTAAAGAGAACATGTGAGATAAGATATCTCCTCACAGTAGGTTTCCAGGATCCTGTCCAGGATGATCACAGTCAGCATGGGGTTAATACACAGATTCAAGAGGCATATCAAAGGAGATCTGATAAGATTTAGTGACTGGATGAATACAGGGAATAAACAGAAATTAGTTAAAAATTATTCTAAGGAGCCAGATGCTGTGGCTCATGCCTGTAATCCTAGCTCTTTGGGAGGCTGAGGCGGGCAGATTACTTCAGCCTAGGAGATCGAGAGCAACCTGGGCAACATGGTGGGACCCAGCTCTACAAAAAATACAAAAATTGGCGTGGCACATGCCGGTAGTCCCAGCTAGCTCCTTGGGAGGCTGAGGTGGGAGGATCGCTTGAGCCTGTGAGGTTGAGGCTGCAGTGAGCCGTGATTGTTCGTGCCACTGCACTTTAGCCTGGGTGAGAGAGCGAGATCCTGTCTCTTAAAAAAAAAAAAAAAAAAAAAAAAAAAAGTTTGTTCTGAGGGCTTAATTGTCAATATTTTAGTAACAAATTGGAGGAATTGGAGAGAAAAGCAAAAAATAGATATTTAAAAACCCAGGCTTTTAAGATCAGGATTGTAGGATTGTAGCACAGAAGTTAAAGAAAAGTGGCCAGAAAAATAATTAAGGACAAAACAGGTAGGGCATGGATGGCTGTTTAAGGTTGGCTTTCAGGAAGCAGAGGAGTTTTGTAAGACAATAGGCAAGCATCGAAAAGAAACTTGGATTATTATAACATGTAGCAGAAAAAATGAAAAACAAAACAAAAAAAACTTGGGTTAGCGTCTAATGGTCGGGGCTGGTTATACAATTTGTGGGATACAGTGTGAATGAAAATGAAATGCAGGCCTTTGTTCAAAAAGCAAGGGGAAAAGTACAGTTAAGAGTGCTAATGTTTAAAGCTTTTTTCCTTTGGGAAGAAAAACATGGTAGAGTTAATAGCAATAAATAAGTAAACACAAATTCAAAATTATGTTTGTGGGTATCATGCTTTTATAAAAGATAGTAAATAAATAATACCTTATCACTGTGAAATCTTGATTAATCATGACTTTCTGGCTCTTTTTTCTGCAAATTCATTTTAGTCATCAAAATTTATACTTTTATAAAGTTTCATTTTTAATTTATATAATTGGAAGTAATGTCAATTATGTTTGGCAAATGCAAGATTACAAATATTTTTTGATAATTTTTGATTTTGAGGACAGGCCTTGTACTGATGCCACTGTTAAGAACATTTTATAGGCTGTGACAACATTAGGATAAATTTCTGATAAATTATTTCAAAATCTAAATTTAGAACATCTAGAGCTAATTTTTAGAACAATTTTTCTAAAAGCTTTAACTCTACAAATCAGTTCTGTGTATAGATTTAATTCTAAGTGTAGATTTATACAGGGGTATTTAAATATTCTTTCTGCTATTTCTTGTAACTTGGAAGTTGTACAACTTCCAAGAAACCAAATGACTTCATGACTTGTATATAATTCAGAATGTCTGTTTGTGCATCCTACCTCATATCTTCAGGTATGAAGATATGGAAACATTAAATTTAAAATAATCCTTCTCATTAACAGTTGGTTCTTCATTAAAACAGTTGGTTCTCATACAAAAATATTGTTCTTTTCAACCAAATGTGACAATCTTTATATTCAATTTCTCTTTCTAAAGCTATTGCTATTTGGTTTGCAATGTTGCAGTGGTTTATAAAACTGGAGATTATAAATGCCTTGATGAATTCTGATATATTTTTGGTGCCATGACTTGGATACTTTGCAATAATATGCTGACAAAGGTTTTACTCTCTGAGCACCAACACTTCCTGTCCTGGTCCTTAGGCTGGAGAGTTAATATTTGCGCATATACTGTTAGGATAGGTTCCAGGAAGAGGAGTACTTTGGCTTTCCACTGTATATCCCCAGTGCTGAGCCGCTCTTTCATGGGGCTGCTGCCATCATTGCCATTGCCAATCTGGGCTCAGTCCTGGCCACTGCCTTGAGTGCCCTGTGTTGTCCACGTCTGTCCCAGGTATTCACATTTGGGCCCAGGCAGCCAGTCCAGCTGCTTAGTGCATATGCTGACACTTGACATATTTCCTCTGTTCTGTGCTCCATTGTCCCACTGGTCTTCATCTACAAAGTACAAGTTCAAAGTCATTAACAAGTTCAAGATGGCGACAAAGGACCGTTCAACTAAATAGAGGCCCCTTTTGAGAGCAAGCCCATGTGTGACTGCACAAGTTACATACCTGGTAAGCTTACTCTGCCCATTTATATTGCCGAAGTACTAAGACTACTAAACTGCCTTTAAATTGCTCTGTTCAGGACTTCCCTAAGATGAACTATTTGACCTTAATGGGACCTATATAGTTGTTAGGGGCAGAGACATGGTAGTTTTCATGCAGGTATTCAGTGAGTTTGTTTTAAAACATGCTACCTTCTTAGTAAGACTTGATACTCCTCTAGGAGCCTTATGGAAGCTGAACTCCCTGGCAGCCAGGACTGTAGCTATTGAATCTGACTGGGGTTCTAAGAGGAAGGCTTTTGAAATGGAGTTCAGACAAACTGCTCTATCAAAATACTCTTGTTGATTTAGTTTGCTGTGTTTTATTCTATATCTTTCTTTTAATTACCACTTGGATTTTTATTATTTCTGATCTTTTTTTGTTTGTTCGTTTGTTTTTTGGTTGAAGGAAAGGGATCATAGATTATTATTTAGCTCTCACCACTGGCTGCTTGATATGGATGGCCTACTGTTTATCAATGCCGATAACCAGAGTTTTGGTGGTTGTTGATACCATATATGTCCCCCTTAATCTTGTAATCTTGTACCTATGTGAGAGACATTTTTAAAGAAGAAAATCAAGAAAAATGTCTCATAGCCTCATTTGTCATTTTTTTCTTCTTTAAGACGTCAACAGATTTTTTTTAGAGGAAGTTTCTCTAACTAAATGTCTTTTGTCCTCTGTAAAATGGACAAGAGTTGAAACAAGCAATGTATATGAAAGGTAAAGACGTCAAAGTCAACACACAGACCCCAGATTGCACTCAGCCACTTCTTTGCTTCCCACAGCATTTCTATGCTGTAAAATGCTGTCTTCAATGAACTAGAATTGGAGTTACTGTTTGATCCTCCTCTTATCCTCTTAACCTTGGCCAAAGATATTTACATTATCACTTCCTAACTGATGTGCCACATCTATTGCAAAAATAAGTTGTGGTGAGCAAGATACTGATTCCTTGTGTTCTCAGGGTGGCCTGGCAGGAGCTTCTGGGTCAGTTGTCTGAAGGTGCCCTGCTCCATTTGCCCTAATGTGCTCTATAAACACCTTTCCTTGAACACTGTGACATGAAAAAGGCTTGGAAGTACTACTTTAAACTTCAAATGAAAAACTCACAAGGAAGTGAAATTCCGTAATTAAGCAATTACCTTTTAACCATTTATGTAATCAGTATTGCTTTTGTTCTTTTTCAGTTTTTTTCTCCTAATTTTAGTCAAGGTAAACATCTAAGCAGCAAGTAATATACTGATGAAAATAAATTTTGAGATTTGTAATCTAGTAATTTGTCTTCTGAGTCTTGTGTTAATAGGAACCAGAGGTCTTAGTAAATGAGAACTATGATTCTGGGTGCTTAAATTGTTTTATCCGCACACTCATTGCGTGAAAGATTTCAGCCTATAAGGAAGAAATTATGTCAGTCTAGAGTCTCCTCATTGTAGAAAAGTTCCCATTTTTATACTTTTGATGATAACAAAGCAGCTCCATTGGATTGTGGTTGACAATAGCAATCTGTATGTTTTTGCTAGCAACATACAGATCATAAGTAGAACATATTTCAGAGTTACACATGATCCAAGAGAAAGTGTGCCGAATTTTGAACTTGGTTGGTAGAAAAAGGTGATTTTTTTTTTTTTGGTAAAGAGATTTTTTTAGATAAACTCTAAGAAAGTAGTTATTTACAGAAAGTACACTGAAGTATAAAAAGATAGTAAACATAGTCATAATGACTATAGTTGCTAGCTATATATTCAGTTTATCTGAGGGGGCAGGAACTTTAGCATCATCTTGTTTTATGAACTCTAATTTACTTATCAATAATTTTTCTTACTAGTTACTTGTTGCAATAACTTATACTATTATACTTCATGTGTGGTTTTGATTTCTTAATGGCAGTATCTTCTTTATTAGTTGACTATGGGAAATATACAAGTATAGTGTCCCCTTGTTTGCAAAGAAAGGGATTCGCGTCTTCACAGTTTACTCACAGCTGCAGTGGTGAGCTGCCCTCTCCTGGTCATCTATGCCTTCCAGAACTCCCGGTGGATACCAGGGAAAATCATACATTTTGCCAAATAAATGGATGTTTTAATCATCTTTGATCTTAACATTATTTTGTGACACTGTAGTATAAAGCTCTGCTGTAGCTCCTTACTTTTCATGTCTTAAAAGACATTGTTGACAGAAAAGATGGGTCATCTTTTTTCTCCCACGTTCTTGTAGGCATTCTATCCACCTGAGATTTTTGCCCCATTACTTCAGTCTTAATGGACAAATTTTGTGCCACCCTTGTTTACTAAATTCTTGAGATTTACTTAGAAGATGTTTCTTAGTTTGTCTATCCACTTTGGGAAAAAGAGATTTTCAGAACTGTCTTAAATAAGTGGATTACCCAAGATGTTCTTTTCATAGAAGATTTTTTGTTACATATTTTCTTAAAAATGAGCATCAGATTTTCTCTACTGTTAATAATTCATGTTGTACATGAGTTTACTGGTGATTCTTCTTAAAACCAGTGCTTATGTTTTTATTTTTTTAATTCTCTATTCTTCAATTCCTATTTCTTATAAGCCCATCCTTATTTTAGACTCTAGACTTGGGGACCTATGGGATTCGCATCAGTTATGGTGCTTAACAAAACTTTAATACCAGAATTTTAGAATCTTACTTTCTTGTTGAAAGTAGCAGTTTATCCCAGCCTTTTCCTATTATATACCTTATATTTTGTATATACTCTTACATTTTCTATATACCCTTATATTTTGTATTTTTAAAATGGAAGGAATGAAAAAAAAACCTGTGGTTTTTATCGTATTTCCCATTTATATTTGTACCTTGCTACTAGTTGCTATTTCTATTAAGATTCCTAGAAAACTTTTTATGACATGTTGTTTCTAAAGTTCATATATATTGTAGTAACTCAGTATAACTCATTATTTACTAAGGAAGCATACTAATATTGCATATCCTCTTTAAAATCCTACAGTTAAGAACAAAAGACTAGAAGACATCAGGCCTTTTCATTTATTAGTCATTTTACCTTTTAGACAATTTTATGTAATTATTTTTCACGTGGCAAATTTCATTGTACACTACACACATACGTTTGCAGAAGGGGTGCAAAGTTTTGGATACATGGAAATTTCTTCTTGAGTTAGCTAGAATTTCTTTTCCTTTTTCAAGTTAAGACAGAAAACCCAGCCAATCAATTCAGTTTTGATAGATTTTAAAACCCTAATCAATACTTTAAAATTACTTATGAAGCAAATTATTAAGAGTAACTTCTAAACGTAGAAAACATGAAAATCACATCCAAATTGTAGAAAGAAGTTATTTACAACAAGGTCAGGGCGTGTGCCACTTCTTCCTCCAGCCAAGACCTTTCCTGAACTTGGTGATCATGGATAAACGAGTGCCCAAGAGTCTTTAATTTGATATATGCATTACATTTCTAAGATCTTAAACTAATACTATCTCTTTGCTTGTCTTTGGTGTTGAGATTGTTTAAACCTTTCAAGACCTGATTTTGAATCCTTGCTGTCATTTACTAGTTGTGTGACAGACTTGCCCACTTCTCCTTTATAATGTGGAGGTAATATTCCTACAATGGATGCTTGTGAAAATTAAACATTAATAAGAATATTAAAATGCATTTTGTAAGCCAATAAATGGCATACAAATGTAAATAGTACTTATAAAATAAAATGCGTTTAATTTTTTAAAAATATATGACATTCCCAAAACGGAAAAAGGTATTACAGTGTCTGTTAAACCAGACTTAATGGAATACTTGATTTTTCTTCTCATAATCAACCAATTACATTAATGTATCAAACCTGTGTACTGATGAAGATATTTTAAATAGTCTTTTTTTTTGTGGAGGGCAGAGAATTGTGTAACTTTTATGTATCCCACTGCCTTTTTTATTGTGTATTGTGAACACACCACAGCAGAATTTAAATAGTTAAATATTTGTTGCCTCATTAAATTGTGGCTTCCTAACTTAACTTCAGATTGCAGAGGACTAGAAAAGTAGGCATTTAATATATTATTTTATTTTACGAGTTTTCTTGATACATAATTGGTTTTGGATATATTTCCTCCTAAGTACAGAGCTAGCACCATAAATTACAAGCAGTAACCAGATCTTTTTATATGCCTCACTTTATATTGCTTAGGCAACCTTCTGTATGCTGTTTTCTCTAGTCCTCTCCATAGCAGTTAAACCTGAACTCTCATCAGAGAAGTAAAAATTTCCTGTAAAATGAGTTGTTAAAAGCTATATGTTTGAAGTGTAAGAGCAGGCCCTTCTAATGTTTAGGAGTTAGCTTGTGAAAAAACAAGCTTTTATCTATGTGTTCTTGCATTTCAGTCTGTATTTCTGAATTTATGTATGTGTGTGGCAGTGTAGGGTAGATGATAAATTTTGTAGCCTAGGAAACCTGTATCCCATCAGGAGAGAAAACAGATGTTCTTCCTCCTGGTTAAGAACTACATCTATCCATTTAGCAATTATGAATCTCTTCCCTAGGTAATACTCTTTGAGAAAGGAATCTTTCAGCAGACAGGATCAAGAAGCACATGATTCATTTTTTACATTATGGGAATGAATCCTTTTACATTTGCCTTCTCCTTTTTCATGCTTTCAGTTTAAATAAAAGTAAGTAGACGTTCCAGTTTAAATCACGTTCCAGTTTAAATACCTTACAGGATGAAAGGTATTCTTTACTTCCTAGGATCCTAGGATTCCTAGTAAAGGGATTCTTTCTTACTTCCTAGGATCAGCGAATTGGAGACACTGTCAGAGATCACGAAAGAAAGTTCGTCATTCCTCCCATCCCCAATCCAGTTCAACCAACTTGTTTCTAGCCATGTTTTTATTTAATAGTTTCTGATTTTAGCTTGTTTTGATTGAAATTATATTATCCAAGTCTTGTTTATGTTTCTCTGAAAGTGGCCAAATACTGTTTGTTCTACTTAAGTAGTATTTGCATCTTTTTCTGTCCTCATGCTACCACTGTAGTTGAAACCCTTATCTCTTACCAAAACATAATCTGTCATCTCGTTGCTTCTCTAAATTTCTTCCATATTGCTGTTGGACTGATCTTCCTAAAATAGAGGTCTCATCATGGCTTTCTGTTTTCCAGCGACCATTTTCCTTTTTCAAAGGTATCCTATTGCCTTTAAAATTGAGGATAGTGTGTTTAGCCTAGAATTGACACCCCTCAGTGTTGGCCCTAGTCTGTTTTTTTCAGGCTGTATGCCATAGCACTCCTTCACATGAGCCAAACTGGATGGTTCAGGCTTTGATACTTCACTACCTCTTTTCTCATCCTCAAATCAGTCTCTGTCTTTGTGATACCCATCTTCTCTTCCTTCATCCCCTCCCCAAATCCCTGCATGTTGAATTCCTACTTCTTCCTCAAGATCTTAGCATAATGCCACTTCTACTTCTTCTTTAAGGTCAGACATAGAAAGAAAAGAGTAGGAACTGTATTTACTGTATCAATATGGTAAAAACAACACTTTAATTCCTTTTTTAAACTAAAATGATTTAACCTACTTCATTTATATAGTTCATCCAAAAAAACAGAATGACCTTCCCAAATGCAAATGCTTAATATGTAAAGTTTAGTTACCATATTAAAGAAGATTCTGCACACCATGCCACTTAGGTATCAAGAAATGATGGTATGGCCAAAATGGGCAAAGGAAGAATGAACTATTACAGACAAAACTATGAAACTCAGAGGAGCTCATAGTACAACTGTAAATTTATTTGTTTTTTTAAATTTAGGGATGTGTAAAGAGCTATAAAGTTCTTGACAGGATTTGATAAATCATCAGGGAAAGTAGTTAATGCTTTAGGGTAAAACATTTTAAAATACAGCTTTAAAAATATATAAAAATAGAGCTTTACACTCCTGTTATTAATTTTTAATTGTCTCTTTATGATGCTAAGCATGTTGGCACTAGACTCAGTTTTAAAAATGTCTACCAGCTTGGCATGGTGGCTCATGCTTGTAATCCCAGTACTTTGGGAGGCTGAGGTGGGAGGATCACCTGAGCCCAGGAGTTTGAGACCAGCCTAGGCAATATAGCAAGACTCCATCTCTACAAAAAACAGAAAAATTAACCAGGTATAGTGGTACACACCTGTAATCTTAGCTACTTGGGGGGCTAAGGTTGGAGGATAGCTTGAGCCGGGATGATCAAGGCTGTAGTGAGCAATGATTGCATCACTGCACTCCAGCCTGGGCAATGGAGCAAGACTCTGTCTCAAAAAACAAAGTCTAACAGTGATGTATATGTTATACCAGTGTTATTTGGAAGATAACTTGAGACTTTTCCCATGCATACTGAATTTTTGGGAAATAAATTTAAGTTTTTCTGTATAAATGGTCAAAAAAATGTTATATTGAGAGAGAGAGAGGTATACTATCCGGAATACAGTCTGTGGGATATGCCTGTACAATTAATTTATCCATTCAGGCCCAGTTTCAAAGGCTTTGGAAGATGGGTTGCAAAGTTTATTAATCCTCATCATTTCTTGGCTAAGATAATTAGTATAATATAAAAAGTCTTTGATTCTCTATTCTGATGACCTGTTTTGATCCTTAGAGACAGAACTAAGGATTAAGGTGAGATGAATCTTCTTAGTTTACTAGCCAAAACAGTATACTCAGCCCTAGAACAGAATTCTCTGTCGCTTGTATTTAGCATTCCCTCTTGCTGAAAGTGTTCTTCTCTTTTTATATTTATGATTTCTATTAATGAAATTGCATCTCTGTCTCCCATTTGGTGGTGGGGGGGAGACAGGGGAGAAGAACAGGGCCTTGCTCTGTCTCTTAGCCTGGAATGAAGTGGCATGATCACAGCTCACTTCAGCCTCGACCTCGACCTCCCAAGCTCAAGTGATCCTCCCACCTCAGCCTCCTGGGTAGCTGGGACTACCATGCACGGCTAATTTTTTCTTTTTTTTTTTTTTTTTTTTTGAGACAGAGTCTCGCTCTGTCACCCAGGCTGGAGTGCCGTGGCATGATCTCGGCTCACTGCAAGCTCCGCCTCCCAGCTTCACGCCAGTCTCCTGCCTCAGCCTCCCGAGTAGCTGGGACTACAGGTGCCTGCCACCACGCCTGGCTAATTTTTTGTATTTTTAGTAGAGATGGGGTTTCACCGTGTTAGCCAGGATGGTCTCGATCTCCTGACCTTGTGATCCACCCGCCTCGGCCTCCCAGAGTGCTGAGATTACAGGCGTGAGCCACCGCGCCCGGCCTAATTTTTTCATTTTTTATAGAGACAGGGTCGCACCATGTTGCCCAGCCTGGTCTTGAACTCCTGGGCTCGAGGGATCCTCTCACCTTGACCTGAGATTACAGGTGTGAGCCATTGGGCCCAGCCTGCATTTTCTTGAAGTTGAAGATTTCCTCTGTGATCACATCAACCCAAGATTCTCTTTCTCTAAGCCCTATTAGCATTTCTTATAATGCCATTCAAGTACCATCACTAACTTGATTGGAAGTTCCTCAGAGCAGGGACTGTGTTTCAGATTTTTTGTTCCCCACAGTGCTTAACACAGAGCCTAATACAAAACAAATTCTGTGTGAATTTTTTGTGAAAGCTCTTGGTATCTCTAATGTGCTCTCAAAACCAACTACTATTATAAGATAATTAGATTTTACTCACTACCAGATTTCTCTACCTGGCCAATAAGGTTTGCAGAAGTTCCAGACCTATCAGGTGTTTATTTGCAAAGAAACAAAGTAGTAAACTTCAAAAGTCATGAATGTACTCTTGAGCCCTGTCCTCACAGAAAAAAAAAAAAATAAGCAAAATTTCTATTTTTTTTTTTGAGACAGAGTCTCGCTCTGTTGCCCAGGCTGGAGTGCAGTGGCGCGATCTGGGCTCACTTCAAGCTCCACATCCCAAGTTCACACCATTCTCCTGCCTCAGCCTCCCAAGTAGCTGGGACTACAGGCGCCCGCCACCATGCCCAGCTAATTTTTTGTATTTTTAGTAGAGACGGGGTTTCACCGTGTTAGCCAGGATGGTCTCGATCTCCTGAACTTGTGATCCGCCCACCTCGGCCTCCCAAAGTGCTGGGATTACAGGCGTGAGCCACCGCGCCCGGCCGCAAAATTTCTACTCTTTCCGAGGGGCTAATGCTGTTCTCAGCTGTGAAACTTTATTGTTGTCAATTCTGGCATTTAATTCTGAATAGGGTGCCATCACCTTCACTACTCTATTCATGTGGTCTTTCAACAAATGTATTGAATACTACTGTATGCTATGTTAGGGATAAGAAGTGACCCAGACTGCTATAAGGGAAAGATAAAACAGTAGTATGAGAGTGTATAATATTCTAACGTAGTATGGAGGCCAAGGAAGGCTTTTATGGTGACGTTTAAGCTGAAATCCAAAAGAATTAACTAGTCGAAATGGTGAGGCAAAGAGTGTTTTGATCCAAGGAAATAACATGTGCACCCTATCTACTAGAAGGGATGAATTATTTGCTTGCTGTCCTGAAGGTAGGCCATTGTGGCTTGAAAGAGTGTGAGAGAGAGCATGTAGGGCAAGATGAGGCTGGAAGAGTAAGTAAAGATCAGAAATTTCAGGCATTGTAGGCCATGTTAAGGTTTTGAACGTTATTTTTAGAGCAGTTGCTAATGAAGTATATGAAGCAGGGGTTATAGGAGCAGATTTCCATTGTTAAAAGATAGCTATGCTTCAGAAAAGAGAATGGTGAGAGGGCCTGTAGTACCTGCAGAAATACCAGTTAAGAGGCTACTGGGAGGCTGAGGCAGGAGGATCACTTGAGCCCAGGAGTTTAGCCTGGGCAACGTAGTGAGATCTCATCTCTACTAAAAATTTTAAAAATTAACTGAGTGTTGCAGTGCGTGCCTATAGTCCCAGCTACCAGGGAGGCTGAGGCAGGAGGATCGCTTGAACTGGGGAGATCGAGACTGCAGTAAGCCATGATTGTACCACTGCATTCCAACCTGAGCAACAGAGTGAGACTCTGTCTCAAAAAAAAAAAAAAAAAAAAAAAAAAAACAAAAGAAGTTCTAGGCATGATATGATAATGTTGTTATCTTAGGTTAGTGAGGTGACAGTGAAGAAAGATTATAACTGAATTATAATTTTTTAAAGTAAAATCAACAGAACTTGGTATGGAACTATTTATGGGAGATGAGGAAGAGAAAAACAACTCCTAGATTTCTGATTGTGCCCTGCGTATGCTAAGGAAATACTCAGAAGGGACCAGTTTTAGGAAGTGCATTTGAGGCACCTAGGCCAGTTGAATTTGAGTGGTCAGGTCAAGAGTTTTATATCTGTGAATCACAAGCATAGATAGGCAGGCTAACTTAGGGTTTCAGTTATCTGAGGAAAATAGAGGGCTTTGTTGTTTTATTTGGTAGCCATTAGCTATGTGTGTATCTGGTCTGAATTGAGATGTGTTATAGTCTAAAGACTGAAAAAAGGCTGTAAAGCATGTTATTAATAATATTTTACATTGATTACATGTTAAAATATTTTAGCTATATTGTGCTACATAAAATATATTATTAAAATTAATTTTACTTGTTTAACGTGACTACTAGAAAATTTAAAATTACCAATCTCACATTAGTGGCTTGCATTACATTTCTGTTGGGCAGTGCTGGTATAGAAAAGCAAGCTTAGGATTGGGCCTTGAGATATCCCAATACTGAATGTCTACATATTATCAGAGTCAAGTTCTTGGCATTTTCGTGTGAAAAGACTCAGATACACTACATACACATAAAGTCTTAGCATTGAAAAGACCTCCTAGGAGGCTGGGCGCGGTGGCTCATGCCTGTAATCACAGCACTTTGGGAGGCTGAGGCAGGTGGATCACCTGAAGTCCGGGGTTCAAAACCAGCCTGGCCAACATGGTGAAACCCTGTCTCTACTAAAAATACAAAATTAGCTGGGCACATTTCTGTAATCCCAACTACTTGGGAGGCTGAGGCAGGAGAATCGCTTGAACCTGGGAGGTGGAGGTTGCAGTGAGCCAAGATCGCGTCACTGCACTCCAGCCTGGGCAACAAGAGCGAAACTTTGTCTCAAAAAAAAAAAAAAGAAAAGAAAAAGACCTCCTAGGGAATTTTAATGTTTCAAAATAAGAATTTTTCTTTTCCCACAATCTCCTCTTTAAAGAGGCCATCATTGAAAGTAGTTTCCAGCAATAATAAAAAAAAAAAATAGTAGTAGAAGAGGAGGAGCCATTACTTTCATTTCTGTTCATTCTGAAGAAACAGAGATGACTCTTTCTGTATAACTCAAATTCTTAAAAGAAACCCTTGATATATAGTGTCAATTATATGAACTCTACCTCAGGGTACCTAAAAAAAGAATGTTTGGTTACCCGAATGAGGGGGAGGTTTTCCTTTAGAGAGAAGTATTGGTGCCAACAAATGAAAAAGGAATAGTTTGAACACCACATTTTGCAACTCCTAATGAAATAATGGATTTAAAGAATTATCGATGGCTGCTTATTTGACAAAAAGAGACACCTGACATTGTGCCACTTCAGAGAACACAGTGCTTACCTAGAAGTATTCTTTCCAAAATTTAAAAAATGATCTAATCTACATATAATCAGGCTTCTAGATCCAACTACAAGTTTATAGGAAATATAAAGACTATCTCATGAAAATACAATCAGCAAAATCCAGAATGTGTTAAACTCTACAGGATATCACTTCATTTCTTTAACAAATAATTGCATGGAAAAGAGGGAGGTGGACTGAAGGGAAGAAATATGGAAGGGGGAAACTACAGATTCAGGGACTTAGTTTATTACAATGGACCTTTTTGGGATCTTATAAAGCATATATATTTATCAGGTAATTATAGAAATTTGAACACTGATGAACATCTGATTAGTTATTGTTGGTTTTTAAATATATGATATTGTATTATGGTTACATTTAAAAGAGTCCTTATTTATCATTTGTTTGTTTGTTTGTTGAGACATAGTCTTGCACTGTTGCCCAGGCTAGAGTGCAGTGGCACAATCTCGGCTCACTGCAACCTCCGCCCTCCAGGTTCAAGCAATTCTCATGTCTCAGCCTCCTGAGTAGCTGGGACTGTGGGGGTGCGCCAACATGCCTGGCTAATTTTTGTATTTTTAGGAGAGTCGAGGTTTCACCATGTTGGCCAGGCTGGTCTCAAACTCCTGACCCCAAGTGATCTGCCCGCCTCAGCCTCCCAAATTGCTGGGATTATATGCGTGAGTCACTGCGCCCGGCCATTATTTATCTTTTAGACATAGCATGCTGAAATTTTTGCAGATAAAATGTTTTGCTTAACAATAGTTCAGTAGAGGACAAGGGTAAGTGGGTAGGGATACAGATGAAATAAGATTGGCTGTGAATTAAGAATTGTTAAAGCTGGAACTTTGGGAGTTTATTATACTATTTTTTCAACTTTCATATGTTTGAAGTTTTCCAAAATAGTGAATGAGTAAGAACACACACAGACATTATACAGAGGGGAAGTGTCATTAATGATTTTATCTACTATACCTTTTTGTATCAGAAGATCTGGAGAAGAAACAGAAATATTAAAGTTTATTTCCATGAATAATCCCTTTACTTTCATAAATATCTGCTGGGCCTGGTGATTTGACCAGTAAATGGGATTTATCTTTTTGTGTAGCCAATAAATTGGCTCTTTAATCTTTTCTCATTCACGTTAACTTTCTCTTACCCTGTAAAGTGTGTTGAATTTAATGTTTATTATTCCTATGAGTTGGGGAATTGGTATAAAATACATACATAAAACGTGTAAGAAAAATTATAAATTGAACACCTATGTAACCATCACCCGGGTCAAGAAATAGGACCCTTTACATGTTTCAAAGCTGTGTGGTAAAAAAAAAAAAAAAAAAAAAAAGAAAGAAAGGACCTGGGCAGTACTGCTGACGCACATCCCTTCTCCACCACATACTTCATTCCTCCCCTCTTTCATATATATGTGAATATTCATCACCCTAATATTTATGGAAATCAATCACTTCTTTGCTTTTTATTTTTTCTCTTCTCTTAACGGTATAGTTTGTCTTCCCTCTCGTGTTCTTCATACTTTTACTGTATATTCATGTATGTATAATATTATTTTGCACATTTGCAGACTTAATTAGCACTATTCCGTACGTATTCTTCTAAACTTATCTGCACTCTGCATCCCATAGGGTTTCCTTTATACTGATATGTGTAGCTGTAATTCATTCCTTTTTTAACTACTGTATAGTATTCTATTGTATGATTGCACCACCAATGTATTCGTTCTCTTACTGATGGACATTTAAATTTTTGGAAGTTTTTTGCAGTTATAAACAAAGCTGCTAAGGATATTCTTGTGCATATCTCTTGGTGCATGTATATGAGAGTTTCAGTAGAGCAGGGGTTGGCAAACTGGCCCACAGGCCAACTGCCTCTGTTTTTATAAATAAAACTTTTAAACAGTTATTCTCATTTGTGTATATATTGTCTGTGGCTGTTTTCGGCCCATAATGGTAGAGTTGTGTAGTTGGCAACAGAGACATTATGGCACACAAGCCTAAAATATTTACTACATGGCCCTTTAAGAAAAAGTGTCCTGGCTGGGCGCGGTGGCTCACACCTGTAATCCCAGCACTTTGGGAGGCCGAGGTGGGCAGATCACAAGGTCAGGAGATTGAGACCATCCTGGCTAACACAGTGAAACCCTGTCTCTACTAAAAATACAAAAAATTAGCCAGGCATGGTGGCGGGTGCCTGTAGTCCCAGCTACTCAGGAGGCCGAGGCAGGAGAATGGCGTGAACCTGGGAGGTGGAGCTTGCAGTGAGCTGAGATCGCGCCACTGCACTCCAGCCTGGGCAACAGAGCGAGACTCCGTCTCGAAAAGAAAAGAAAAAGAAAGGGTGTCCTGACACCTACTCTTAGAGTGTATAGCTTGGAGTAGAATTATTAGATCTCCTCAGCAAGGGTAATCATCAACTGTACTGGACTTGGCAAAGTATCCTGCAGGAATTATTATATGAATTCTTACCTCCTGGTCAATATTTGGTGGTGTTAAAATTTTGTTTTGCATTCATATCTCACTATTTATATTGCTGTTTCTCTGATTACTAGTCAGGCTGAACACAGTTTCAAATGTTTATTGAATCTTGCATATTTTTCTGTTGATTGCCTGTTCATATTTTTTGCCCATATTCCCTATGTGTTTTTTTTCTCAGAGATATGTGGGAATTTTTTTTATATGTTCCAGATATGAACACTTTGTTGGTCATATGCATTACCAATATTTCCTCCCAACCTGTGGCTTGTCCTTTAAGTTTTCTTAGTGATGTCTTCTAAAAAACCAGAACACTTTTTATTGGAAATAATTTCAAATTTTAAAAAGTTGCAAAAATAAAAATGGTACTCTTAACCCATTTTCTGTTTAGAAAAAAACAAATACAGCTTGCTGCCAGTGCATTTTTCATCAGGACAAATGAGAAATTGGCATACCTGTGTAGCCTTTATCCAGTCACTTATTATTTACATTTTACTCCATTAGCTTTATAATCATTTGTGTGCTTGCTCACTCTTCATGTATATGTATGTGTATATTTGAATATGCATATACACACAATTCTGAACCATTTGAGATTAGAGCACATATATTATGCTTGGCTTTCATGAGTGTATAGTGATATAATTTTATGAAAATTACCATATCTAATTTCTTTTTTTTTTTTTTTTTTTTTTTTTTGAGATGGAGTCTTGCTCTGTTGCTCAGGCAGGAGCACAGTGGTGTGATCTTGGCCCACTGCAGCCTCCACCTCCCAGGTTTAAGTGATTCTCCTGCCTCAGCCTCCTAAGTAGCTGGAGTCACAGGTGCGTGCCACCATGCCCGGCTAATTTTTGTAATTTAGTAGAGATGGGGTTTCACTATGTTGGCCAGGCTGGTCTTGAACTCCTGACCTCAAGTGATCTGCCTGCCTCAGCCTCCCAAAGTGTTGGGATTACAGGCATGAGCCACCATGCCCAGCCTCTAATTTCTTAATGGTTCCTCTTCCTGTTTAAAAGTTTTTAATGTTAATGTAGTTATTTACTCAATCTTTTCCTTTATGGTCTGTATCTTTTAAATTCTTTCCCATATCTGAGTTTTAAAAATATTTGCTGTATTTTCTCATATGATTGTTAAAATCTTGCTTTCCATATTTAGGAATGTAATCTACTTTGTTTTTTTTTTATATAGTGAGAGATGAATACCAATTTTGTTTTATCCCATTGTCCCAGCACCATTTATTGAATAAATTGTTTCCTTTGTTTATAGTGACACCTATATGGTGTATCAAGTTTATGCATGCAGGTCGTTGGGCTACGTGATTGACTGTTCATGTACTTAGATCACACTGTCTTAAAAATTAGAGCTTTATACTAATTATTGATATCTGCCTGGCAAGTCTTTCTAGCATGTTCTTCTCAAATTTAACATTTACTTTGATAAATAGTTACATAGCAACAATTCATGTAATCATCACATACTCAAAATACAAGATATTACCAGCATAGTGAAACCCATGCTCTCAGGATGTTGCACCCTTGCAGTAACCTTCTCCTTCTCCCAACAGTTGGGCCTTATCCTGACTTTTGTGGCAGTACTTCCTTGATTTTCTTTGTAGTTTTGTCACTGATAACTTCTCCTAATCTATATTGTCTAGTTTTCCTTTTTTTTTTTTTTTTTTGAGCTTTATATTCATGGATGCATCCAGGAGATATAATTTTGTATACATCAGGCTTCCTTAATAAAACATTATAAAGCTGTGGTTCATTTTTTTGTTTTTTAGTTGATGTGGGATATTTTATTTTGTGACTATACCAGAGTTTATTCACTCTGCTCTAAGTGAGCATTTTGGCTATTGTTAACCAGTGTTTCTCTTAATATGCATGTTTTGGGTTAATTTCAGGTAATACATGTAGGAGTAGAATTGTTTTTCCCTATGGTATGTTTATCTTCCACTTTAACATGGAATGGCAGACTCTTTTTTCTTTTCTTTTTTTGTTTTTTGAAACGGAGTTTCACTCTTGTCACCCAGGCTGGATTGCAATGGCGTGATCTCAGCTCACTGTAACCTCCGCCTCCCAGGTTCAAGCGATTCTCCTGTCTCAGCGTCCCAAGTAGCTGAGATTACAGGCACCCACCACCATGCCTGGCTAATTTTTTTTATTTTTATTTTTAGTAGACACGGAGTTTCACCATGTTGGCCAAAGCTGGTCTTGAACTCCTGACCTCAGGTGATCCGCCTGCCTCAGCCTCCCAAAGTGCTGGGATTACAGGCGTGAGCCACTGTGCCCAGCTGGCAAACTCTTTTTTCAAAGTAGTTTTATCAATTTACATTATAACCAACAATGTATGAGAGTTCCCATTGTCTGCATCCTTGCGAACACATGATATTGTTAGTATTCTTAATTCTGTTTTGGTAGGGGGATAGTAGTATTTTATTTTGGCTTTAGTATGCATTTACCAGATGACTAAATGAAGTCAAATACCTTTCATGTGTTTATTGATCACTTAGATATCCTCTTTTGTGAATGACCTATTTAAGTCGTGCTGGAGTTTCTACTTCTTTGGCTTAATAACTTGAAGGGGTTATTTATGTATTCTAGACATGCGTTCTTTATATGTTGGACAGATATCTCCTTCCACATTGTGGCTTGCCTTTTCACTCTCTTAATGGTGTTTTTTTGTTTTATTTTGTTTCTTGATGAACAGAAGTACTTTATTTCAATGTAGTCAAAAGTTATCAAATTTGAATTCATGCTCAATCATTACTTACCTACTATGTGACCATGGCCAGCTTCGAGCTTCAGTTTACTTATCTGTAAATAGGTGGTAATAATATCCATGTCATTGGGTAATTGAGAAGATTAAATAAGATAAAGCACTTATTATAGAGCTTTTTACCTAGCAGTCCCTCAATAGATGTTAATTGCCTTCCTCATCATTTAGGGTGCTCATTTTCATACTGTCTTTTGGGAAATTGGGTAGTATTCATGAGCTATTTGCAAATGAATGTTTTGGAAATTAGAATCTCATATAATTATCCTAGGAATTTAGAAGATTGCCTAAAATAGTAAATCATAATTAATTTGCCCAGAGAACTAAAATGTAATATTTTCTCTGATGTAGAGGATTTACACTGAATATGGGATCCTTGTATAATAAAACTCATGACTGGAGTATCTTATCCAGGAAATGAGAAGAGATAATAAAAAATAGTCTAACCCTTCTACATGCATCATATTTTAAACCAAGAGTAGTTCTCTTTGCCTCCAAGAGAAAACAAGGTTTATTAAATAGTGAAAAATTGCTAATCACTCCAGCCCAAAGTACCTTCTCTCTCCTAGGAACATTTAGTGCCTATTGATGATTTTCATTTTCCCATATTTCATCATTCAACAATAATTTGTAGGACATCTCTTACTATGCTTACTATGCACCAAGTATAGACTCATTCTTTGTGTGAATGGAGCTAAGAATGAAGAGTGGAAGATTTTGTAAAAAAGATTTTAATTATAACACCATGCCAAAAAATTTCAAAGTTCTGCTACTGGTAATGGCGGAATTGTTCATAATGTACCAATTTTCCCACAGGTAATTCTACTCTGGATGAAGCTTATACTATAAATATTTAGTACATAAAATCTAAATGTTTATATACACACACATAATTGAAAGCACACTTTAATGCTTCAAAACATAATCTGGCCAGACCTGGATGGCTCATGCGTATTATCCCAGCATTTAGGGCTGTTCAGACAGGAAGATTGCTTGAGGCCAGGAGTTCAAGACCAGCCTGGGCAACATAGTGAGACCCCCCCATCTCTGAAATAAAATAAATAAAATAAAATAATAAAATAAACTATCTGAAGGCACTGGAGACCAAACCAAAGTGGGCAGAAACTCACAGGAAGTCAACATTTAGAATAAAGAAAAAGCATTTGATGACTTTAGTTTTAGTATTTTATGCTTGAGGGCAGTTACTAATGGCTACACCATGGGGGTGATTAGAACTCGGAAATCCCAATTCTTACTGATTTGGGGAATCAGAAAATAGAGGCTACTATAGCACCTGGAAAGTGAAGGGAAATTCTCAGAGGGACATCCCAAGTTCTGCATATAAATGATTGTCAAATATTTGATCCTTGAACAAAACGTGAACATTCTTCAGAGGAACATAATGGAATCCATAGCCTCTAAAAAGTATCATTCACAAGATGTAGAATACAATCCAAAATTACCAGATATAAATAAAAAGAAACTGGAAACTTTGATGTATACTCAAGAAAAGGCAACCAAGGGACACTATGGGATGACCCAGATATAGTAATTAGAAAATCAAAAAAAAAAAGTTTTTTTGTTTGTGTGTGTGTGTGTGTGTGTGTTTTGTTTTGTTTTGTTTTGTTTTGTTTTGAGGCAGGAGTCTCACTGTGTCACCCAGGCTGGAGTGCAGTGACCATTTACAGGCATAATCTTAACTCACTGCAGCCTCGAGCTCCTAGACTCTGGTGGTCCTTTCACTTCAGCCTGCCAAGTAGCTCGGACTGTAGGTGGGTGCCAACACAACTGACTGACAAGGATTTTAAAGCTGTTATTAGTTATGACTATGCTCAAGGATATAAAATGGCATACAATAAAATAAATATGAAACTTGCTGGAGAAATAAAACTATAAAAGAGAACTAAATGGAAATTTTAGAACTGAAAAATGTAATATCTGTAATAAAAATTCACTGTGTGACCTTAATAACAGATTGAAAATATCAGTGAACTTGAAGATCCAAATCACTCAATCTGAAAAACAGAAAGAAAACTTTAAAAATAAATTCAAAAGAGCAGTGCCCCAGTGACTCATTGAACAATATTAAGACCTAATATGTGTCATTGGAGTCCCAGAAGAAGAGAAGGAAACTGGGGCCAAAAATATATTTAAAGAGATAATGGGAGAGAATTCCCCACATTTAGTGAAAGATGTAATTGTACATATTGAAGAGATTCATAGCCAAATTGATGAAAACTAATGATAACAATAAAAATCTTATAAATAGTAACAGAAAGGAATAATAATAAAACTGAGAGTTGACTTATTAGAAACAATGGAGGCCAAATGCAGTAGAACACCATCTTTAAAGTGCTTAGGGAAGGAGAGCTTTGGGGAAAGCTGGGAATCAAGAATTCTACATCCGGCAGAAATATCCCACAGGAATGAATGCCACATGAAGATTATTTTAGATTTTAAAAGTGAGAAAGGACCAGATGCGGTAGCTCACACCTGTAATCCCAGCATTTTGGGAGGCCACACGGCAGGTGGATCACTTGAAGCCAGGAGTTTTGAGACCAACCTGCCTGAAACCCTGTCTCTATTAAAAAAATTAAATTTAAAAGAGAAAGAATTTGTTGCCAGCTACCCTCCACTAGTAGAAATGCTGAAGTAAATTCTTTGGGATGAAGGGAAATGATATACCAAGTCAAACTCCTGTTTTCAAAAAGGAATGAAGGGAAAACTTGTCTTATTTTATCCTCTTTATTTGTTTCAAATGTATATGATGTTGAAAGCAAAAAAAAAAAAGTAACATTGGGTGATTTATATGTAGATATAATACATATGGCAACTATATCAGAAAGGACTGGGATGGGCAGGTAAATAGAATCATTTGGTGACAAGTTTTTTACATTTTTCATAAATTGTATGATATTAACTCTGAAATGTTAATATCTGAAAATGTAAAGGTATATTTCAGTTCTTAGAACAGACACTTAAAAAAAAAAGACAAAAAAACATAAGGACATAAACCTAAAATGCAATAGAGAAATTATATTGGAATCTTAAAAATATTAAATTACTCCAAAGGACGAAAGGACGGACAGAGTAATAAAAAGCAGTAATTGAAAGATCTAAATGTGGACATATTGATAATTACATCTGGCCAGGTCCAGTGGCTTATGCCTGTAATCCTAGCACTTTGGGAGGCCAAGGCAGGAGGATCCTTTAAGCCCAAGAGTTTGAGACAAGCCCAGGCAACATAGCAAGACCTTATCTCTATAAATTAAAATATATATATATATATTAGAAAAACATAATTACATGAATTGTGTATATACAGAACACTCCAATTAAAAGGCTAAAAATAAGCATGTGAAAGCTGGAGTAGTCATATTAATCAGGTAAGTAAACTTTGAGACTAGGAATAGTAGTAACAGAGGTAAACAAGGATGTTTCCCACCGGGTGCGGTGGCTTAAGCCTGTAATCCCAGCACTTTGGGAGGCCGAGGCGGGCGGATCACGAGGTCAGGAGATCGAGGCCATCCTGGCTAACACAGTGAAACCCTGTCTCTACTAAAAATACAAAAAATTAGCCGGTCCTGGCGTCAGGCACTACTTAGGAGGCTGAGGCAGGAGAATGGCGCGAACCCGGGAGGCGGAGCTTGCAGTGAGCTAAGATCCCACTACTGCACTCTAGCCTGGGCAACAGTGCGAGACTCCGTCTCAAAAAAAAAAAGGGATGTTTCAGAAAGATAAAAGGGTCAAGTAAACAACGAAGGTACTGGAATCAGACCTTCAAAATAGATAAAAACAAAATTTGACGGGATTAAAGGATCTCCTCATCATAGAGAAGTCCACAACCATAATTGGAAGTTTGAATACCTGTCTCAATAATTGACAGAAGTAGTAGATTAAAACTACCAGTAAGGACATAGAAGATCAGAGTAATACTGTATGTAATACCACCCACCTTGACATAATTGGCATTTATAGAACACAAAATCCAATAATTATAGAATATGCATTCTTTTCCAGTATACATTCAGCAAGATAGACCATATATATGGTGGACCATAAAATAAGCTTCAAAAGATTGAAATCTTAGACTTTGTTCTTTGATCATAATAGAATTAGAAATCAATAACAAAAAATCTGGAAAGTTCTCTGATCACAATAGAATTAGAAATCTATAGCAAAAAAAAAAAAATCTGGAAAGTCCCCAAATATTGGGAAATTAAATAATATACTACTAAATTAAAAATTCATTAAACTTTTTTTTGTTACTGCTTGATTAGCTAATTGTTACAGATGATTCTCTGATTTTCTCTCTGTCTCTCTCTCTCTCTTTCTTTCTCTTTGTCTTTCTTTCTTGAGACAGAGTCTTGCTTTGTCACCCAGGTTGGAATGTAGAGGCACAATCATGTCTCACTGTAGCCTTGGCCTCCCAGACTCAGGTCTTTTTTTATCCTCTTAATTTGTTTCAAATGTATATGATGTTGAAAGCAAAAAAAAAGTAATAATGTGTGATTTATATGTAGATGTAATACATATGGCAACTATATCAGAAAGGACTGGGATAGGCAGGTAAATAGAGTCATATGGTTACAAGTTTCTTAACATTTTTCATAAATTGTATGATACTAACTCTAAGTAGAGTTAATATCTACTAGAGCTAATATCTACTCCCATGTATAGTTCCTAAGGTCCCTCCTGCTTCAGCCTCCTGAGTAGCTGGGACCACAGGCGTACATCACTATGGCCAGCTAATTTTTAAATTATTTGTAGAGACAGTGTCTCCCTATATTGCCCAGGCTGGTCTCAAACTCCTGGGCTCAAGTGATCCTCCTGCCTCGGCCTCCCACAGTGCTGGGATTACAGGCATGAGCCACCACACCTGCCCTCTAATATTCTTTTATTAAAAAGAGAGAAAAATACACAAATAGAAGAGATTGTGACATAGAGGTGAAATTCTCTCAGTTTTGTGTGTGTTTTCCTCTTGAGTTTTTCTCCCATATTTAGGAAAAGATGAATTATAAACTCTTTATGTGCAACTTCTTTAAATATAGCATATATGAGTCTCCACTTCGTATATAGTGTCAAGCTGGTACACAAAACAGATTCTCAGAAAATAAACTAAGAAAATATTCCTCAAGTCTCTATAAATACATATTTTATCACATGTGATTGTACTATATCAATCTCATTTTGAATCTCATTTTGAGAGATGCACTTACACTGTTTGGTATGGCGTTTTGTATTACAGGAATGCTTTTCAGGACTAGCAGTTGCTAAGGGAAGGAAATGCTTAAGCTTGTCTGTAAACATTAACTTCAGCATATACACATTAATAATGGCTTCCCCACCTGTAACCAACCTACTTACCTGGCAGGTTTTATTTCCTAGGCTAAGGATTTTTGAGAACTCTATCATAAAACAGCTGAATTATGACCTCCTTTGGTTTTTACAATATGCAAATACAGCTAAATACTCGTTAATATTCTGCATTTAAATTCTTCTTCTTAATAAAGACATGCACTTTATTCCTGCTCCCACGTATGGTTCCTAAGGTCCCAGAGTTCAGACTTCCTTACAATTTTTAATTCTCTTCTATCTTAAACCTTTTGAGAGCTGAGCAATAAGCTTTTCATTTTCTTCAGAATCAGCTCCAGTCTCAGGATTTTGAGGCCATGTCAGTAGAGTAAGAATGTACCCTCCATGTTTTCTATCAAAAATAAAATATTAACTTGTTTAATAGTTTCAGTTTTGCCAGATGAAAATAATTCTGGTGATGGCTGCAAAACAATTTGAATGTACTTAATACCACTGAACTGTACACTTAAGAATGGTAAAGATGGTAAATATTATGTTTTCTATATTTCACCATGATTTTTTAAAAGTTTAAACAAGGCCGGGCATGGTGGCTCACGCCTGTAATCCCAGCACTTTGGGAGGCCGAGACAGGCGGATCACTAGGTCAAGGAGATCAAGACCATCCTGGCTAACACAGTGAAACCCCGTCTCTACTAAAAATACACAAAAATTAGCCAGGCGTGGTGGTGGGTGCCTGTAGTCCCAGCTACTCAGGAGGCTGGGGCAGGAAAATGGCATGAACCTGGGAGGCAGAGCTTGCAGTGAGCCAAGATCCTGCCACTGCATTCCAGCCTGGGAGACAGAGTGAGACTCTGTCTCAAAAAAAAAAAAAAAAAAAAAAGTTTAAACAAGACAGGAGGATCACCTGAGCCCAGGAGTTCAAGACCAGCCTGGGCAACAAAATGAGATCCCATCTTTACAAAAAAAATTTAAAAATCAGCA